>NC_000011.10:33544848-33696363 GCF_000001405.40 Homo sapiens
GTCTGCAGCCCTGGTTGCTAAGGGCACCAGCAGCAGCCCTTTGGCCGTGGCCTCAGGACCAGCTAAGAGCAGTTCGATGACTACTCTTGCTAAAAATGTCACAAACAAGGCCGCATCTGGCCCAAAGAGGACACCAGGGGCAGTCCATACAGCCTTCCCATTCACACCAACCTACATGTATGCAAGAACAGGACATACCACGAGCACACATACAGCCATGCAAGGAAACATGGACACTGCCTCTGGCCTGTTGTCTACAACTTACCTCCCCAGGAAACCACAAGCCATGCACACCGGCCTCCCAAACCCCACCAACCTGGAGATGCCCAGAGCATCCACGCCACGCCCACTGACAGTCACGGCCGCGCTGACATCCATTACAGCCTCAGTGAAGGCCACCCGGTTGCCACCATTGCGAGCAGAAAACACAGATGCTGTCCTTCCTGCTGCATCGGCTGCAGTGGTCACGACTGGCAAAATGGCATCCAACCTGGAGTGTCAGATGTCCAGTAAGCTCCTGGTGAAGACAGGTATGAGACCACTGTTCTGATCTGAAAGCAGCAAGCCTGGCCTCAGAGATGTAACCATAATGTTTATTTTAGATCAGTGGTCCTCAACCAGGGGACATTTTTCCACCCTCCCCCAGGGACATTTGGCTATGTCTGGAGACATTTTTGGTTGTTATGCTTGATGGCTGGAGATACTACTAAAATCTGGTGGGATAGAGACTGGGGATACTGCTCAACATCTTACAATGCACAGAACAGCCCCAACAACAAAGATTTATCCAGCCTAAAACATCCATAGGGCCAAAGTTGAGAAACCATGAGCTTTAGCAAGTGTTAGAGGAGAGAGGGCCTGATGTGGCATGGATTCTAGTCCTAGGATCAGTCCTGATATCAGAAGTCCCAGGAAACCATGGTTCTGCCAGTGGGTCTAAGAATGCAAAGGTACCATTTTGCATCAATGATGTCTCACATGAATGAATGATGTGGTTTGTAAGATACAACATCTTGGGAAGTGCTACAGAGTTCAGAAAGGCTTTTGTCATGCATTTTTTCAATTAGCTGATAGCAAAAGCACAGCTTCTGCACACTATGTGGGAGCCCAGGATTTCTTTTGATGTTAGAAAGACTTTCTTGAAAAAGTGGGATGGGCAGCACCAGAATTGTGAGCAAGGATGGAATGCTGTCTTTTAAGCCCCCATTCCCCAGCTGTAGCAAAGCAGGCCTAGAATGCATGGAGAGCTTTTAATAGTGTGGCAATGTTTGCTATAAAAAAAATTAGACAAATTATTTGAAAGAGCATGCCAATGTTGAATGCTCACATCCTGCCTTCCTCCTCACCCCACAAAGAATTAAATGAAATCATATCTTGAGACATATCCTATTCTAAAATGGGAAATTATGAAATTAGGCATAACAAAAATTACAGTATCTCTCTCTGTTTCTCAAGAAATTATACCATCTGGGTTTCCACTCTCTGTCCCTGCTCCATTCCACTCTCCTCTGGGTGGCAGGCAGCCCTGGCCCCTCAGAGGCAGAAGTTGGAAACATTCTCTTCTCTGTCTTCTTCCCAGCCCCCCCACCAACCCAGCTACATCTAATCAATCACCAGTTCCTTTCACTTCTACCTCCTGGATACCCCTTCTCTCCATCCTATTTCACACTGCCACTTCCCTAGTTCACACTGTCATCATCACTCACCTAAATTTCTGTAACAACAGCCACATTTATCTCTCTGCCTTCAGAGTCCCACCTCTTCAATCTGTTCTCCAGTCTGTAGTCAAGAACCTTCTAAAATGCATTCCTTTGCTTAAAACTCATTTCCCATTGCCCTTAGGACCAAGCTTAAACTTGTATATACAGTAGTCCCCTCTTATCTGCAGGGGATCTATTCCGAGACCCCCAGTAGATGCCTGAAACTGCAGGTAGTACCAACCCCTATGTCAACTATGAATTGTCCTACTCATGCATACCTATGATAAAGCTTAATTTATAAGTTAGGTGCAGTCAAGGTCAACAACAACCAGTAATAAAATAGAACAAGTATAACAATAGACTGTAATAAAAGTGATGTGAATGTGGTCTTTCTTTCCCTCTCTTTGACTCTCTCAAAATATCTTATTGTACCATACTCACCTATTTTCAGACTGTGGTTGACTGCAGTAAATAAAACCATGGAAAGAACACTGTGGCTAAGAGGGAACTGCTGTATACTGAAATATTTTGCTTCTTTCCCCTGCGCCTTTGCGCTTGGTACTCCCTCTGCTGAGAGTGGGTGAGGGCAATCTCTTCCTCCTTGTCAGATTTCACTCTTGTGATCCTTCAGAACTTAGCTGAAGCATCAGTTCCTATGGAAATTTTCCCTGATCCCCATCCCTTTACCAAACTCAGGGCTGGGTGCTCCTCCTAGGAGCTCTGGCAGCGTCCTAGGCTTCCCTTCAAACAATACCTGTCACATTCAATCCCAAATACCTGTTCTCTGTCCTTTGTCTCCATCCCACTTGCGAGGTGGGGATGGCACCTTCCTGATCCAGGGTTGTTTGAGGCCGCAGCACCGAGCTCAGGGCCTGCACCTAAGGAGGCTGTCCATGAATGTTGTTGCAGGAATCTCATCGCATGCACTGTCGAGCCGGCTTTCAAAGTCAGAGGCAGCATCTGTCAGAAATGAAACGCCACCAGCATACCAGCTCTCTCTCTACTCGGGTCACACAAATGGCTAGGGCCTTCTTTCCTTAGGACTTTAGCGGGACCCACAGAGCTACCACCCCAGCGCACCCCCTCAATGATGGCCCTGTGCTTACCGGCTCTGCCCAGAACTTGCAGAAGGTGGTGGTTGGGAGGAGCAGAGGGCAAGTGAATGATGAGGTTTGTCGCCTTGCCTGATTGCCATGCTTCTATTTTACCCCACAGTTCTCTTTCTCACCCAAAGGAGAGTGCAGATCAGTGAATCCTTGAAGTTCAGTATCGCCAAAGGGCTCACACAGGCATTGCGGAAGGCTTTCCACCAGAACGATGTCTCAGCTCACGTAAGTGCTTTGCTTTGTAACCAAGCTAATCCATCACAGTCTGGCTCTTGGGTCTAGAATATGTTTAGATTGTTTTCCTCCTTTCTAGGGATCATAACAACACTGGCCAGAAGTAGAATCTGTCTTCACTTTGGCAACTAGCTAATGTGTAGTGGCTTGAGAAAAAGGTCAAATTTTGAGATGGAAAATGGAGACTAATTGCTTTATGTCTAGATTTATTTTTAAAGATTGGATATATTGGCCAGGTGGGTGGCTCACACCTGTAATCCTAACACTTTGGGAGGCCGAGGCAGGTGATCACTTGGGGTCAGGAGTTTGAGACCGGTCTGGGCAACATGATGAAACCCCGTCTCTACTAAAAATACAAAAATTAGCTGGGCGTGGTGGCAGGTGCCTGTAATCCCAGCTACTCGGGAGGCTGAGACAGGAGAATCGCTTGAATCCAGGATGTGGAGGTTGCAGTGAGCTGAGATCATGCCGCTGCACTCCAGCCTGGGTGACAGAGCGAGTCTCTGCCTCAAAAACACACACACAAACAAACAAACAAGCCTGGATATATTGTTTTAAACCATCCCATTATCCCATCGTTTGGGGAAAGTATTTACATTGTTCATGTAATTTTCTAGAAAACTCTCCATTGCTTTTCCCCTTATTTTCATCACTATTGTAAACAGTGATTTATTTCTGGACATTTAAAAATTATCCTGACTTGTAAATCGAGTCCGACTTTGCTTAAATTGCCCACTGCAGACAGGGAAGTAACATTTTTTCTTTTAATGCCAAGTACTGTTTAATGAGTGCTGGCTGATTTTGATGTCTTATCCAAGAGATGGAAGCTTCACTTTACATCTTTGGGTTTGATTCCAAGTTTTCAAACAGTAAATGCAGTTGGCAGTCAGTAGACTCCCATTTGCACCACTAAAAACTATTGCTGTGGCTTCTTCTTTTGATGTTCTGTCCTACAGCTGCAGTCAGCTTACTGACCCCCTCCCTCCCATCAACACCAAGGACTAGAAAGGAGATTCGGCACATACTTTATTGATCATTGTCGATCTCTTTTATATATTTCTAAAAAAGAAGAAAAAAGAAATGCATTATATGAGAGGCTTTTATGATTTCTGCACCAGAAACTTTATGGGAAGTTGAAAATGTGAATATTTCCATTTAATTGCCTGATACAATTTTCACTAATCTTCAAACATTCTCAAACTGCTTTTACAGTTTTGGTCTTTGCTGCATATCTTTACAGACCAGTGTGACAATGAGTATTTTTTTTTTTATGGATTCTGTTTTAAAAACTTAAGCACATTTTTTTGAAAGGGCATTTGATATTACCACCATAAATGGAAATCAAAATCATTTGCCACAAATAAAAGGTGATGGTAAGAATGAGAATAATGGAAACCAAACAGCTTGTTAAATTCAGGCTAGAGGTTGTTGCTTGCAGAAGGCTCTAAGGCTGAGCCTGGTATCCCTTTGTTTGTTTGTTTATTTAAAAAAGGAATTAGCAAGGGTTAGAGAGATGTTAAAAGCAAATATTCACTAAACTGAGACTTATTCCTTGGGGTCATTAGAAGGGTTGAAAGGGAACAACTTTCTCACTGAGTGATTTAGTTGATTTAGTGTTGTCTTGTGCTGTGTCCACGTTCCATGCTGAAATACCTCTTGTTCCACCTAAAATCATCTTGAGCACCATCTTCATGAAAAACTGACCGGGAGCACACAATGTGGAGGAAGCAAAGGCACACCCATCCTGTTGCAAAATCAGTTGTCTTGCTTCCTTTGGAAAATACACATGGAGATGCAAGAATATGGGGAGAAAGCAGGTGTCAAAAACTTCCTGGCCGGGCACAGTGTTTCATGCCTATAATCCCAACACTTTGGGAGGCCGAGGTGGGAGGGTCACTTGAGGCCAGCAGTTTGAGACCAGCGTGGGCAACGTAGTGAGAACTCCATCTCTACAAAACATATGTAAGTTAGCCAGGTATGGTGGCACACACCTGTAGTCCTAGCTACTCGAGAGGCTGAGGTGGGAGAAATGCTTGAGCCCAGGAGGTCAAGGCTGCAGTGAGCTGTGATCATGCCACTGTACTCCAGTCTGGGTGACAGAGCAAGACCCTGTCAAAAAAACAAAAAACAAAAAAAACAAACAAAAAAAGAAACAAAAAAAAAAAACACAAAATGAAACCCTGAGTTCCAGTTTTACAAGATGAAAAGAGTTCTGGAAATGGATAGTAGTAATAGCTGTACACCATTATGAATGTGTTTAATAGCACTGAACAGCACACTAAAAAATAGTTAAGATGGTAGATTGTATATTGTGTGTTTTTTACCACAATAAAAACTTGGAAAAAAAGGAGCTGCATACATATACGTATGTGTATATATGTTACTCTTTTCTCTGTTTTTCAAATATACAGATTCTGTAATAAACATTATATTTAATATATAAAAACCAAAACAAATTAAAAAAAAACCCTGAACTGTAAATATGTAACACCAAGAAAGAAAAAAAGAAAAAATAAGAATAAAATCTAAAGCCTGAAAATCTTGCAGTTGAGACAGAAAGAGCTCAGACCATCAGTGTCCCCTAGGATTCAGCTGTCAGAGAAATTCTCTGGTGCATCCTGCCTTGGTCTTGAACCAATTTACAAGCCAAGGACAGAGTCTGAACAAGTCTTCTCTCTGCTTCTAGAAAGAGGAATTCACTTTACTTACTCCTTGACCGGTGCCCCCAAGGTTCCCCCACTTAATCTATCATTTCTACCTTTTAATTCTCATAAATGATGAGAAATATAAGAAAGTGATTTTCCCCAGCATTTCATTCACTGAAAATCTCTTTGAACTACTCTCTCCTCCCTACCTTTTTGGTAATAATAATTGATGGTCACAGGATTATACTGAGGCACTTAATAAAAAAGATACAGATTTAATTCTATACCATGAAGGTTTGATGTAAATTATATTTTGTTGTTTTTGTGATATTTTGAGACTTGCCAATCCAAACTATGCTTTATAGAATTGTTAAGAATATTTGTTGAACGAGAACATTCTATTCTCCAGTCTTGTTTCTAACAGCCGTGGTTCTAAGAAATACCAGGAAGAACTTAAAGTGCTGTGGAAATAAACAATGGGTTTTGTGGGTCCATTTGTTTTGTAGGTGGACATTCTGGAATATTCTCATAATGTCACAGTTGGTTATTATGCTACCAAAGGGAAGTTGGTGTATTTGCCTGCTGTGGTGATCGAAATGCTGGGTGTGTATGGAGTCAGCAACGTCACTGCAGACCTGAAGCAACACACCCCACACTTACAGTCTGTGGCAGTACTTGCCTCCCCATGGAATCCCCAGCCTGCAGGCTACTTCCAGCTAAAAACAGGCAAGTGACTCGGAAGGAAGGGATTTTCATCCATTCTTGGGTTCAGGGCCAGTACCAAGTGGACACCTGTTTAAAAGCTCCATTGCTAGCTGCTGTGTCATTTTTTAGTCCCTGTGAACCTTCTTCAAAGGGTCCTGCTAATCAAATGTCCCAGTTCCTTGCACATCAGCCTAAACTCTTCCAACCCTAGATTTGTTAGAAATGTTCTATCATAGGAGCCTTCCTTCCCAATTTACAAACTTAGTACTTTTGAGCTCCAGGTACTATATTTTATATTTCTTTCTATATTATCAGTGGGTACTAATAATAGTTGAACATGCAAAAAAAAAAAATCTGTGGTTTGGAGTAATGGATTCCAGATACCACTGAATGAGAATCTCTGAGTTTAGGTCTTCGAATATATTTTTTTCAAACTCTCTGGTGATTTCGGGTCTGCAAAGTTTGTAACCTACAAGAGTGGAGGAACTCTTAAAATCGAAACACTCAATCAACTTAGCAATGGAGGTCAATGATTTTCTTCCCTCCAAAGAAATAGAAGGCATGATCTCTCTTAGATTGTGATTTGTCAGTCTTTGAGCAGATGTCTACATATTCCAATCAAATAAAATCATAAAATCTTTTGCATTGGAGGGAATCTCTGGTTCGATCGTGCTTTTAATTCTTCTGTGTTATATAATTCATCTTAGGAGCCACTTTCAAAACTACAAGCAAACCTTGTCTGGCCTTATTATTTATTTGCCTAATTCCTCTCATCTAAAATCGTGCTGTTTTATATTATGACCACTGTTAAATCCAAGGAACTGAGACATGGAGCTTTAGTGAGCACTGATTGACTTCTCTCATTCTAGTGCTGCAGTTTGTGAGCCAAGCGGACAACATACAGTCCTGCAAGTTTGCTCAGACAATGGAACAGAGGCTGCAGAAGGCATTCCAGGATGCCGAGAGGAAAGTCCTGAATACCAAAAGCAACTTGACAATTCAGGTAGGGAGGAAGGTGCTTCAGGCTGTGTAGTTGACAGACAACCACAATGCAGAGTCTGGCAAGAAATGACTTGGGTCTTCCCTTTCAGAGCTACCATGTATAAATGTAACTTTGTACTTCAGACATTGGTGAGGATGTCTGGGGTATGGCCATGACAGGAGGGATGCTGTGTCACTGTGCACCTATTGTGGTTTGGGGTTTTATATTTCTTTCCCCATGGGATGCTTTCTGAGGCCTTTCTAATACATTTATTATTTTGAAAAGTTGAACTAGGCTGTACTGTATATGTCAAATTTCTAATATAAGATGAATAAATGAATCAATTCTAAGTAGCTAAGTCACCAAGATTTGCCCGTTCTGTGATTTTATGCATTGGCTTATATTCCAGTTGCCTTAGTTTAGACACATGCCAACACACACACACACACACACACACACACACACACACACACACACACACACATGCGTTTTATATTGAAGTCTTTACTATGTGCCAGGAACTGTGCTAAGTGTTTTACAAATATTTTCCTACCTAATACTTAAGACATCCTTCTGAGGTATTCTTACTCCCATTTCACAGAAGAGAGAACTGAGAGGCTAAGAAACTTCCAGAAGGTCACACGGTAAAGAATGGAAGAAGGACCTGAGTCAATCCACTACACCATACTCACGTCAATGCAGTGTAGAAATGGGGTCCTTAATGAAGCCTGTGTCAAACAACAGAATTCTTTCCCAGGGAAAATCCCTGGGAAATGAATCATGGCATGAGTGAGGAGGAAGTAAGAGATGAGGTTAGAAGCTACAGGAGTCTTAAGAGTTAAAGGGTGATGGGAAAGCGTCCCCTGTAGGGGCTGCTTTTATTGGGGGACAGGATTTTAGATGCTCTAAACAGCCCTTTTAAACATTTAAACAGCCCTTTTAAAAATTTTTTAATTATTTGTAGAGATGGAGTCTCCATATATTGCCTAAGCTGGTCTCTAACTCCTGGGCTCAAGCAATTCTCCCTTCGCGGCCTCCCGAAGTGCTGGGATTACAGGCATGAACCACCACACCTGGTGCGCTGTATTTTTTTTTTTTTTTGCAACTACGTAGATATCATCCCACTAAAGACAGATGCTTCTTAATGATACTCATCTAGCCCCCAATTAACTCTTCTTTTCAATGTCTCTGTTTTGACTACTGAACTATAAAGCCTTTGTAATTAGACCCAGTGGTTTTAAAATGGACATTTAGCGTAAGTGAATTATCAGCAAAGCCAATATGATGTAGAAAGCATACAATTTAACTTGAGTGAGCAGCTTTCCTGTTCTAGATTCATCCAAAGTGTAGATGGAAGTATCTCATTATGATTTGGTTCATGTTAGACGAAGATCTAAAAATGTGTCACAGACTGAAGATTTATGTAAGGAGTGTGACTCAGCTCTCTTGTGGGAACTCTTTTTCTTTCTGATTGGATTTGTGATCCTCACAGGTGCATGAGCCTAGTTAGATCTTGGCAGCACAGCATACTTTAATTGTATTCAGGAAGCACAGACTTATTGAGTATCTGCTATTTATCAGGCACTGGGAAGGACACCAAGATAAGCTGCCCTTGGCCTTAAGAAGCCTCCTTGTGTTGTTGTATGGTAGTTGTGGGCCATTAGAGGAAACTTTATAAATCAAGTAACAAACCTTCCTTGGAAAAGATGATAGGAGGTGATTCGAAGATTACATCTAAATAGATTTTAGATGCTCTTGAACATTTAAACAGCTCTTGAAATGAATGGATAATTGGATGAATTGTTTTTTATTAACCCTGTTTCCATTTTTGCCTCGGCTGACAGGAATCCCAGAGCCAAATTTGTTGCCTGGATTTAGTAACCCTCAGGGCCCCTATATTATGCATGGTAACTTCATGCTGACATTCCCTTGGGGCTGTCTTTCACCAGGGCCTGTTTTTGTAATTAATAACTTTTCCTTTTATTGGATAATATATAATTTGTAAGACACCTTGAATCCTTTGTAGAATAAGACCATGTAAATATTTAATTAATTTGCTCAGATAGTCATTGAAAAATCGACTTAACAACTTGTATAGGTTTGGTATTAGGGACTAGATTACAGTGGACTCAATTAGGACGTGTTTGGTTGCCAGGGACAGAATCTAAGCTGATGAAGCTTAAGCAAAAAGAGGAAGTGATTGGCTCATGTAACTGAAAGGTTCACATTTATTCCGACACAGTTGTATCCAGGTGATTATTTGATTTCATCAAGCTCTCTCTTCCTGTCTTCGTTGGCTTTGCTCTGCACGGGCATTGTCCGTGGCTCCCATGGGGTGGCCGCTCACAACCCCAGGTTTGTCTCATCCTTGTTGCTCACAGTCTTGTGGAACCAAAGTGCCTTTCCTGGTGTCATTCCAGTAAAATGCCTGGGATTAGCTCTCATTGAACCTACTGTGCCCTTTCTGGGCCAAGGAGGTTAAATGTCCCAATGAACTAGGCCTGACTACTCCTGAAACTTGGGTGGGGCAGCCCCATCCAGAACACATGAGCAAAGAGGAGAAATGGTTCCCTGAGGAAAATTGTGATGCTATCAAGAAGGGAGGATGGATGCTGGGTAGGCAAACAACAGCTTTCTGTTCCATCAGCCTATAGGTCTTCTTAGCTAAATGAATCATGGCATGAGTGAGGGGTAAGTAAGAGATGAGGTTAGAGGCTACAGGAATCTAAGAGTTAAAGAGTGACAGGAAAGTGTTCCCTGTAGGGACTGCTTCTATTGGGGGACAGGGCATGAATTTCAGGGATCAGTGCCATGACTTTGAACCCGTAGGCCTCTTATTTTTGGAGCTAGTCTTAAGTATACATCAAGAATGACCTCACTTTTCTTACCTAATTTTTCTTACAATTTTTCTTACTAATTTTTCTTACAAAAAATTAGTATATTAAAGAAGACAAATAAATGGAAAGACTTCCTGTGCTTATGGATTGGGAGACTTTATATTGATTGTTACTACCCAAAGGAATCTGAAGATTTAATGTAATTCCTATCAAAATCCCAGTGACTGTTTTTCACAGAAATAGAAAAATTAGCCCTAAAATTCCCATGGAATCTCAAGGGGCTTTGAGTAGCCAAAGCAATCTTGAAAAGGAAGAACGAAGTTGGAGGTCCCATACTTCCTGATTTCAAAACTTACTACAAAGCTATGGTAATCAAAACAATGTAGTGCTGGCATAAAGGCAGACATCTAGACAAATGGAATAGAAGAGAGAGCCCAGAAATAAACCCTCTTGTATATGGTCAAATGTTTTTTGACAGAGGTGCCAAGGCTATTCAATGGGGAAAGGACAGTCTTTTTAACACATTAGGAAAACTGAATATTCACATGTGATCCCAAAAGAATGAAGTTGGATCCTTACTTAACACCATCTACCAAAAGTAACTCCAAAGGGATCAAAGATCTAAATGTAATATCTAAAACCGTAGGACTTTTATGGGAAAACATAGGGGAAAAACTTCATGACACACAGTATTTGGCAATGATTTGTTGGACATGACACAGGCAAACAAAAGAAAAAGTAGGCAAATTAGACTTCATCAAAATTAAAAACTTCTGTGCATCAAAAAACACTACCAGCAGAGTGAAAAAGCAATTCATAGAATAAATGAAAAATATTTGCAAATCATATATCTGGTAAGTAGTTAATATTCAGAATATATAGAGAATATACCTACAACTCAATAATAAAAACAAACAAAAAAATCCAATTAAGAAATGAGCAAAGGACTTGAATAGACATTTCTCCAAAAAAGATATACAGATGACTTAAGCACATGACAAGATGCTCTGCGTCACTAATCATTAAAGAAATGCAAATCAAAACCATGAGATACCTATTCACATCTATTAGGATGGCTATTCTCAAAAAATGGAAAATACTAAGTGTTGGTGATAACGTGGAGAAATTGGAACCCTAATGCATTGCTAGTGGGAATGTCAAATAGTGCATCCCCCGTGGAAGGCAGCATGGTGGTTTCTTAAATAACTAAACATAGAATTACCATATGGTTCAGCACTTTCATTTCTCATTATATACCAAAAAGAATTAAAAGTAGGGACTCAAACAGGTATTTATACACCCATGTTCATAGTAGCATTATTCACAACAGCCAAAAGGTGGAAGCAACCCATGTGTCCATTAATGAATGAGTGGATAATCAAATGGCATATATACATACAATGGAATATTATTCAGCCTTTAAAAATGAAGGAAATAATGGATGATTGGAATGCAGAAAAATTTTAAAAAGGAAATTCTGATGCATGCTACAACAGGGATGAACCTTGAGGACGTTTTGCTAAGTGAAATAAGCCAGCCACAGAAGGACAAATACTATATGATTTCTCTTATAAAAGATATCTAGAGTTGTCAAATTAATAAGTGATTCCACTTATAAGAGGTATCTAGAAAGTAGAATGGTGGCTGCCAGGGGTTGTGAGGAGGGAGAAATTGGGAGTTGTTTAGTGGGTACAGAGTTTCTGTTTGGGATGATAAAGAGGTTCTAAAGATGGATGGTGGTGATGGTTGTACAACAGTGTGAATGCACTTAATGCCACTGAACGATACACTTAAAATGGTTAAATTTTATATGTGTGTTTTACCACAATAAAAAAATAATTATAACTTAACTGGTCAAGTATAGTATATACAGAGGCACCCACATTGCAAACTTTGTAGGCTTCCTCGGGCTCCAGTGGGATTTGGGTTTTTGTTTCATTTTGTTTTAGAGGCAGGGTCTGGCTTTGTCTCCCAGGCTGGGGTGCAGTGGCACAATCATGGCTCACTGCAGCCTCGGACTCCTGGGCTCAGGTGATCCTCCTGCCTCAGCCTCCCAAGCAGCTGGGACTAAAGGCATGCAACATCATGCTTGGCAATTTTTTTCTATTTTTTGTAGAGACAGGATTTTGCCATGTTGCCCAGGCTGGCCTTGAACTCCTGGGCTCAAGTGATCCATCTGCCTTGGCTTCCCAAAGTGCTGGGATTACTGGCATGAGCCACCACACCCAGCCAGGATGTGGTTTTGTTGAGAGGTAAAAATAGAATGTTCACAATAGAGATAAAGATTGAAAAGTTTTTTTTTTTTTAGTTATTATTTTTTTAGGTGGCCGTATGGTGAAGTTTTTTAAATTGTTCAGAAAGAAATGCCTTTCTTTTTGGTACCTTGGGAAAGAATATGCTTAGCCACAGGTATTCATGCCTTGGGGAAGAGGCTAAACCACATTCCAAAAATACTTCCATAGAAGAGAGTCAGAGTTGAATGGACATACTGATTCAGTTTATTGTTAGTCATGGGAATATAGGCTCTGGATTAAACAATTAAAAAGGGACCAGTTATGGTGGCTCACAATTGTAATCCCAGTACTTTGGGAGGCTGGGGTGGGTGGATCATTTGAGCCCAGGAATTTGAGACTAGCCTGGGCAACAAAGTGAGATACTGTTTCTACAAAAATGAAATAAATTAGCTGGGACTGGTGGCGTGTGCCTGTAGTCCCAGCTATCCAGGAGGCTGAGGTGGGAGGATCGCTTAAGCCTAGGAGTTCAAGGGTTCAGTGAGCTACAATAAGGTCACTGCACTTCAGTCTGCGGGACAGAGTGAGACCCTGTCTCTAAATAGGAAGGGGCGGGGTAGAGAAAAGGCGGGGGAGAGAGAGAGAGATCGATTGATCAATCTTCCACTTATGGGAAAAAGTGGGAAATAAAATGAAGAGCTCTTCCCAATAGTTTCCTGGGTGATGGATTTCCTAAAAACCCTGACTTGATCATTACACATTCTATGCGTGTAAGAAAATATCACATGTACTGCCTACATATAGATAAATATTATGTATCATTTTTTAAAGTCTGTAAAAAAATTTTTTTAATAGGAAGGTGGCAGAGATGTTAATATGTGAACACCCAAAGGTCTGGGAAAGACAGGGTGTTAGTCAGTGTCCTGACAGGAAAAGGAGGCTGCATTCAAATGAAGGTGGCTTTGTAGAAAGAAGAGTGGGCAGGCTCTGGGCAAACCGCAGGAGCAGTACGGTACCCAAGGCTCTAACAGCTGGGACCCGATGGGGTGAGTGCGGGGTTCGAGGTTCAGCTGCCTGATGGGAGTGAGCTTTGACCCCGTGAGGAGGGAGTCCTCAGCATCAATACTTTGACCTCACCCTCCTCCCTCTCTCCCATATCCTCCCGAAGGCAGTGGAGCCCACTGGGGTTGTCCACAAGGATCTGCCTCCAGGGGCACCGGACAGGGCAGAGAGGGTGGGTGGCAGGAGGGTCTGGAGGGAGAAGGGAAGGCACGCAGCACAGAAATTCACAAAAAAAGGCCTCACCAAGTTGAATGACTTCCTACTAACGATGCTTTTCAAATCTCATCTGTAGGATATTTTTGTTCATACATTGACCCAGAAAGCTTCATTTTCCAGCAACTGAAAAACTAGCTTCGACAAAATGTGAAAAGAAAACCGTGCCATCTCATAGGATGTTTTACACATTCAATGTTGAATTAATAGACCACAAGGAAATGTAATTGCTCTGTAAAGAACATACTCTATATTTCTGAATTCCTTTTTCTTTTCTTTTTTTTTTTTTTTGAAGAATCTTGCTCTGTCTCCCAGGCTGGAGTGCAGTGGTGCAATCTCGGCTGACTGCAGCCTCTGCCTACTGGGTTCAAGCGATTCTCCTGTCTCAGCCTTCTGAGTAGCTGGGATTACAGGCACATGCCACCATGCCCGGCTAATTTTTGTATTTTTTTTTAGTAGAGATGGGGTTTCGCTATGTTGGCCAGGCTGGTCTTGAACTCCCAACCTCAGGTGATCTGCCTACGTTGGCCTCCCAAAGTGCTGGGATTACAGGTGTGAGCCACCGTGCCCGGCCTCTGAATTCCTTTTCTAATTAGGTTCTGTCGCTCTGCCCGTGACCAGACTGGTTTTCAGCTCTGTTGGCTCCTGGTCCTTTCAACTTTCAAATTCCCTGAAAGTTTGACTCAGGCTTTCTCTATCTGAGCAGTTGAGCCCTCCTTCAATGTAACATTCCAATGCTCTATTTTATATTTTCAGAATCACAAAAGTAACCTGAGACTATTTAGCCCAGGAAAAGATACACATACCAGTGATTAAGAACCTGGAGTCAAATCACCTGGGTTCAAATCCTGAGTCTATCCTTTATTAGCTGTGTGACCTCGGGTTGGTCCCTTGATCATTCTGGGCCTCGGTTTCCTCATCTGTGAAAGGGCGTCATCACTGGATACATCTCCCAGGGTTGTGGTAAGGAGTAAATGAGATGACGTGCCCTTAGCACCCTGCCTGGCACACAGCAAGCAATCAGAAATGATGACGGTTACTCTTGTCTGTTCCTTGCTGTTTCCCTGACCCCCTTTCATTCCTTCCCTCAACTCCTGCTTAGCCTCCCCCTCCCATGGCCTCCATGAAACACACCCTGGTCTTATTTGGCCTGTCTCCCTCCCCTTTTCTCCTGTGTTGATTCAGATTGTGAGCACGTCCAATGCCTCCCAGGCAGTCACCTTGGTGTACGTCGTGGGCAATCAGAGCACATTCCTCAACGGCACCGTCGCCAGCAGCCTCCTCAGCCAGCTCTCGGCTGAGCTGGTGGGATTCTACCTCACCTATCCGCCGCTAACCATTGCTGAACGTGAGTATGGCCATGCCTATGGGGACCCCAGTGTTTCCCCTGTGGCCTTTCTCCATTTAGCAAACATTTATAGTGCCAGGCCACATACTACCACCTTTATCATAAAGTGACAGCTAAAATATGTGATGGATTAAGGTGACAGCTAAATATGGATTAAGGAGGCAGATGGATTAAGGTGACAGCTAAAATATGTGATGGACTAAGAATTGATGAAAAGTTTAGTGTACATCAAAGAAAGCACTTGCTAGTTGCCTTCGTCCTTTGCATTTCTCTTATCTCATTTAATCCTCAGACCTGCCCTATAAGACAGATGCAAAATTAGCCCCATTTTGCAGAGGAGAAAACTGAAGCTCTAAGAGGTTTCACAAGATACCCACTCTCACTTAGCTAGTGAGCCATGGGACCTGGGTTTTGAACCCAAGCAGTCTGCCTTCTGAGCTTACAATTCTGCCTGCTAGGGCAACCGATCTCTGAGCAATCTGGGTTGCTATGGTTTTTCTCCCACTTAGGCCATCAGCAAACGTTCCCAGACCTTGAGGCTCGGTCCTGCCTCCAGATATCATAATATAACTCATTTGCAGTCCATGGTGTGACTTCACTTGCTGAGGTCCCCGTAGTCTTGTGGCCTCATCTTTTTCTAATGTTTCAGTTACATTATCCTCATTACCATGCAACAGGCATAGATTTTGAAGATGCAGCAGGTTACATTTTGTATCCAAATGTTTATTTGGTAGCCAAAGGATGGAAAGGTTTGTACTCCTAAATTTAAACATTCTTACATTTCACAAGGTCACTGGGCAAGTTTATTTTTTAATACATATTAGCAAAATTGTCTCATAATTTCCTTCTGTAGTTGTTTTTGATACTGTAAATAAACAAGATAATACGCGTGAATGTACTTAGCACATGGCAGCCACTCAGAATTTTTTTCAAATGTTTGTTTAATGGCAAGCTTTTGTAAACGTCCACATAATAAGGAAAGATGACTCTGGGTTTTAGGGAAAAGATGATGTCATAAAAGATGGCATTATGTCACATGTCAGCATGTGAAGACTTTATTTTCCATCATCCTTTTATTTCTGAAAACAACTACGATTTATTGAGCACTAACCATATGCCAGGCAATGTACAAATCCCTTTGCATGTATCAACTCCAGTAGGCCCCATACTTGTAAAGAAATATGGGCCTTTTGTTACAAGCATGTGGCTACTAAACTTAAGTCCTTGACACTGAAAAAATCTATCCAGGAGATAATCATTCCTAACAATGTTAGTGATGGTCAGATGATTTTTAAAGAGAAAGCTACAGCAAAGACAGGTTCCTGCTGTGGGTCTTGATAAAGAAGGTGTTCTGTTTGAACAGAAGATTTTGATGAAAAAACGGAAAGGGCAGAAACTCACAAATCCTAGAAAACTCTTCATCTACAAGTTGGACCTTTATTGAGTCTTTTAGTTTTCTGAACAGTGAGATAGTTTTGGTTCATATGTCCTAGGATCCCTAAGAATCACAAAGCAGGATTTAGCCGCTTGCTATTTTGTCACTTATACCTGTTTTCCTTAATGAAATTTCAAATAAGCCAGGTGCCATAATGCATGTTATAGTCCAGCTACTCAGGAGGCTTAGGTGCAAGGACCACTTGAGCCCAGGAGTTCAAGAACAGCCTGGGCAACATATCAAGATCCCATCTCAAATATAACTAAATAAATGAAACGAAACAAATCAAACCTATAAAAGTAATTGGGTATGTTTCTTATTTGTTTTAGCACTGGAATATCCCAACCTTGACATATCAGAAACAACCAGAGACTATTGGGTAATTACAGGTAATCTCTTATTTTGTAATTTCCCCTCTTCATGCTGTCAGATTGATTTATTTTTTTTAAACTGTAGGCCATTCATTAATAAGATTGGCACTTTTCTTTGCTCCTGTCTTATAAGTCAGGAAGTTACTTCTACAGGACCAGAAGTGAATGGGGTAAGCTGAGATGAGAAAAGACATCACACTGAAGATGAATATTAGCTAAACAATTCAAAACAGCTTTCAAGTCCTCTTTTGTAAAAAGTGACCCTATCAGAAGTTACAATGTTAACCGAAGAAGGTCTAGGGCATCAGTTTATAGTGAATGGTTATCAGTTTATAGATGGAAAGCCTTTTTGGACTGCCCTGCAAAACCCAAATTAAAGTTAGAGGAAGGCCGGGCATGCACTTGCGTCTCTCCTCTGGCACAACATGTACCCAGACCAATCCTGGCAGGTCTTGACAGTGAGAGTGTTTGGAAATAGAAAGGGGTTCTTTTGGTGGCATTTTCTCTTTTGTTCCTTGACATTTTCCTGTGGATCTTTATGGAACAGCAAAAAAGTTCTTCTTTGTGTTTTTCAAAAGCCAGACAGTAGTTTCGGGATTGAGAGCTGAAGAACAGATGTTTGTAGGAGGAAAAGTGGCCAGCCTAGCCAGGAAGGAGAGGAACAGGAGGAGAAGTATATGAGTCTACTGGCACTGCTATAAGCAAGTGCCACAGACTGGGTGGCTTCAACAACAGACATTTATCTGCTCTCAATCCTGGAGACTAGAAGTCTAAAGCCAAGGTGTTACAGGATTGGCTTCTTCGGAGACCTCTCTCCTTGGTTTAGAGATGGTCATCTTCCCCCTGTGTCTTCACATGCCCTTCCCTCTGGGTCTGTCTGTATCCTAATCTCTTCTTATAAGGACACCATCATATTGAATTAGGGCTCCCCAGTATGACCTCATTTTAACTTCATTTCCTCTTTTTTTTTTTTTTTTTGAGATAGAGTTTCGTTCTCGTGGCTCAGGCTGGAGTGCAATGACGCGGTCTCGGCTCACTGCAACCTCCACCTCCTGGGTTCAAGCAATTCTCCTGCCTCAGCCTCCCAAGTAGCTGGGATTACAGGCACACACCACCATAACCAGCTAATTTTTTTGTATTTTTAGTAGAGATGGGGTTTCACCATGTTGGCCAGGCTGGTCTCGAACTCCTGACCTCAGCCGATCTGCCCGCCTTGGCCTCCCAAAGTACTGGGATTACAGGTGTGAGCCGCTGTGCCTGGCCTAACTTCATTACCTCTTTAAAGGACCTGTCTCCAAATACAGTCACGTTCTGAGGTACTTGGGGTTAGGGCTTCAAAATAGGAATCTGGGGGGACAGGCCGGGTGTGATGGCTCACCCCTGTAATCCCAGAACTTTGGGAGGCTGAGACAGTTGGATTGCTTGAGGTCAGGAGTTCAAAACCAGCCTAACCAACATATCTAGTAAAAATACAAAAAAAAATTAGCCTGGCCTGGTGGCAGGTGCCTGTAATCCCAGCTATTTGGGAGGCTGAGGCAGGAGAATCACTTGAAACCAGGAGGCGGAGGTTGTAGTGAGTCAAGATCATGCCACTGCACTCCAGCCTGGGCAACAGAGTGAGACCGTGTCTCAAAAAAAAAAAAAAAAAAAAGAATTGGAAGTGGGGGGACACACGTCAGCCTGTAACAGGGTGGAGGAAAATCCTGCACATCATGGAAGATGTGCCTGGGTAAGCAGCCTGGTCCCAAACCTCCCCTCTGTCCTCTCCCATCCCCTCTCTCACTTGCGGTCCCAAGCAAGCAGCAGATGGGCTGCTGCCTAAAATACTAAGGACTGTACACCCCTGCTGGATGAAGCCTGCTCAAGAACTCTTCTAAATTGCAGAACATTGCATTTCTTTCCCTCTGCTGCAGAGCCATCGGTATGCAGAAATCATTTTACCTGCTAAGAAGGCAAACAAAAAAACCAACCCACCAGAGTTTATGCCCAAGAGAGAAACAGTGCTAACCCAGCAACACATTTTTGGAGCTAGTGGCTTATGTAACATTTACAAAATCATGTTTTCTTTACAAGGAATGGTGTTTTTTTTAACATGGAGATATTCCTCCCTTCTATTAACTTTAAGGTTTACATTAAATGATAACTCATTCACTCTTCACCACAGGCTGTCCTTGACAACCTCTTGTGTCATCTTTTCTTCATCTACCCGTGTCTTGCCGTGCCTCTATTTTGGTAACATAACCTTAATCAAAAGCTCCATTCCAGGTCTTTTTTTCAGGACTCTCCTCAGACTTAGCCTTCTACCCACTCACTTATGAAACCCTTATTTGTTATTGCTGTTGGTGTTCAGAATAAACAGTGGCTTCCATCACTGTGTTTAGGGCTAGCTGGATCAGTTGGTTAGTGCTTGGGAAGGGCTGGAACCAGGTCTTAGGATGATCATCCTGCCTTCCCTTTGACCTGTGACCACCTTCTGAACCCCTGGGTAGCCACCAACCAACCTGCCCCATAATTTACCAAAAGGGTAGAGGATAGGGACCTGTGAGGCTTTGTTCAGCCTTTACTCCCAGACATGCATCACAGGCTTTCTGTCTTCTGCTCATTTCTAACAGCCAAGAGGATTTGGAGCAAATTCTCTTTTCTATAGTTTGTATTATAAAAGCCTGACATGTTTTCATCTGTTTTCCAACTATTAAATAGGTTTTTGCAAACTGCACATACTTCTCCTGCCTCAGAGGGTGGGTCCCTTCTTGATGGAAAATCACTGGCTTAAGGTGACTCCTGAAGTCTCTTTACAGAGAACCTAGAGGCTACCCTGCCACTCAGGGGTCCTGCAGTGAAGTTTGTATATGTGAGGCAAGATAGAAATGTGCAGATTCAATATTGCTGCCAGACAGAGGGGACAGCCCATTTCAGGCTTATCCATCTGCCTTTATTTCTCCCACCAGAGGCAAAATATCCCAGACCCAGCAATGGAAAAATTTCTTCTGGTCTCAGCTCTGCCATTTTCTAACCTAGTGTGTCCTTGAGCAAGCCACTTGGGCCATGTGGACTTCACATTCTCCTTTTGTAGGAGGAGGGAGAAGTATTAACTGAGCATTAAGATTCTTTTAGTGCTAAATGTGTAGGATCCAACTGCAAATAAAACAATTTAGCCTGAGTACAGAAGGCTGAACCAGGCCTGATCACTTGAATTGTAGAGCCCAGTATGATTGTGAATAAAGAAGGAATAAGAGAACAGCGATGTGAAGGTCATTGAATCTTCTGGACAAAGCTTCATTGAACACAGCTGGGGACGTGCCCAGCTCCTCTAAGCTGAGTCACGGGTGGCCAAGGCTGGGGGACCAGGGCCCTGGCTGATGCACTAGGGGGCTGGTGTCTTCCTGGTTGTCTGCGCCAGGTCTGAGCTTCTATGGTTCTGTGATTTCTGTGTCTCTGTGAGAGAGAGAGGTACATGCCCCTTTCTGCTGCCTTCCAGGTGGACAGAGAGGGCTAGGGAGCCTGAGCCTGCCACATTTTTCAGGGGAAGGGGGAGGAGCCACATCCTGGGACACATTTCCATGCCTTGCAGGTGTTTTCTTCCTCTGGTAAGGATGTGTTTAGCAAACAAGGGGCACATCGTAACAACAGCAGCTACCATTTATTGCCGTTCCCTCAAGGGCCTTATGATAGTACCAGGCTAGAAGCATTTTTTATTGAATTATCCTTTCTTAACAGTGACACGATCAGTAGTAGATTATGATCCCTGTGTTTTCAGATGAGGAACTGAGGCATAGAGAAACTCAGCAACTTGCCTGAGACTACTCAGGAAGGGGAAGCCAGGAGGCAAACTCAGGGCCCTGCCCCCAAATCCAGCTCTTCCCCAGGTGCCCCCTAAGAAGGACACATTCTCTTTGCAAAGAGTGGTGACAAAGCTGTGGAGATTGTCCAGTTGATCCCCTGTAACTCTGTGAGAGATTCCCACAGCCTCTGGCACTTCCGTGGAGGCTTTTTTTTTTTTTTCAAAAAAATTTTTATTGGCTGGGTGTGTTGGCTCACACCTGTAATCTCAGCACTTTGGGAGGCTGAGATGGGAGGATTGCTTGAGCCCGGGAGTTTGAGACCAGTGTGGGCAACATAGTGAGACCTCATCTCTACAAAAACAAAAAATAGCCAGTGTGGTGGCTCATGCCTGTAGCCCAGGCTACTTGGAGGCAGAGGCTGGAAGATTGCTTGAGCCCAGGAGGTCGGGGCTGCAGAGTCGTGATCCTGCCACTGCATTCCAGCCTGGGCAATAGAGGGAAACCCTGCCTCAAAAGAAAAAAGAAAACAATTTTATTGTAAAATATACCTAACATAAAAGTTACCATTTTGAACATTTTTAAGTGTGCAATCCAGTGGGATCAGGTATATCCACAATATTGTATAACCACCACTGCTATTTCCAGAACTTTTTTGTCCCCTGGAGGCTTTTGACTATTCCCTTTATTTGATGTCTGCCTTTGAAGCATCACCGAGATTCCCATAAAATAATCCCTGATGACACCTCTCGACTGTCCTGTGTCCCCTCTCTCACTCTTGGCCAGTGGTCAGGAGAGGACAACTTAGAAGTAATACTTCAGTCATTTGATCTGTTATTTTGCTAGAGGGGCCGTCTTTGAACCGGCAAGTACATGGGCTTTTCTGTCTGGGGACAAGAGGTGGGCCAGCCCTTCCATGATCTGATAGCTGTGTCATGAGGGATTCCAGGGGTCCTCTGGGACCTGACACAGTGGGAACAGCACAACTCTTTGTTTTATGAATTTGCAGGAATTAGGCTGATGCATGAGCTGGGAGTGTCTCACAAGGGCCCTAGAAAGAGAGCTGCTTTTATACCCTCCAGGGGGATTATTTGGCATTTATGGCTTCAAAGAAGTAATTTCAGAGACCTAGCTGTGACTTTTCTTTCTCGCTTGATCTATTTAAACATCATTCTCTGTATCTGTTGTCGCCGGTTATCTGGGCTTGTATGGAATGTGATGATTAGCGTTGGCTGCTGGTAGCCCCCTGTTGTACTGGATGCCATAACTGCAATGCGTTCTTCACATCCAAGCTATTTCCATATCCTGGTAGGTGGATGATATCGATGATCCTTGGATGGGCTCTGGTAGAACAAACTCTATTAATAATGGAAAATCTTATCTTCCCAGCCCTTTCAAGTTTTGGTCTCTTTAAGAAAATGAGATTTGTTTTTCACATTTTTAATTTTAAACATGACCGTGTTTGAAGGCAGCCTTTGTGTGTTTGGGGTGAAGAATGTTTCCCAAGGGATGTGGAACAAGGACTGGACTTTGAGGGTAGACAGAAAAAGGGAGTTGCCCTGATAGTAAGTGAACACAGCAGTCCTAGAACAGCCCTGGTGGTCCTGAAAACCCTCCTCCCTGCACTGGCCATGGCTGAAACCATCATTCATGCCTTACCTGTTGACTGCAGATGCCCTGGCTATAGATGAAGCCTAGCGGTGGAAAAAGGATGGGCAAGAAGGGTGTTCCCTTTACCTTCCTCACAGCAGGCAGTGTTCTAAGCTGCTTTACATATCCTGTCTCATTTAAACCCTAGAGCTCATTGGGCTTATGTTGGCTGTGATGTACACTTTCTTATTGCCTTTTTACAGAGAAGGACTTGGACTCAGAGAGGGCCAGTGGCTTGCCTGAGGTCCCTGAACTGACAAGTGCCATAAGAGATAGCTCACTCTTTCCATTCAGCCATCCTCTTCTTGAATGAGAGAGCATCTGAGGGGTTTGGGTAGCTTTAGGGTGGGCATTCAAAGGACTCCACAGAGGAGGAAGAGATGAGGACACTGAACAGGGTAGTCTGCCCAGATATAAGGGATTGAGTTGCAGGATGGAGCTCAAGCTGGGACAAGGCAAAATAAAATAGGAATAGCCCTGAGCCAGACCTTGAGTGGAAACCAGCAAAAATACCCGTTAGCCATACCTACAGCTGTGCTGTGTTCCCATGTGGACTTTTAGCAACACAGATCATCATCTTAGGTGAAGTCTGAGTTAAATACGGCAGCATTCGCAGTGTCACAGTTCACAGAGCAAAGAGCCCAGGCTCTGGAGTTACACAGTCTGGCTTGGGTTTGGACCCTGACTCTGCTGGTTGCTAGCTGCGTGACCTCAGACAAGTCACTTAATCTTTTCAGCATCTATAACATGTGGATAATGATTGTCATAGGGCTGTCGCGAAGGTGAAGTGAGGTAAGGTTGGCCAAGCCCTAACATGAGGTAGGACACAGTGGCCCTTGGTGGCCTGTGCAGGGTCAGTGGTGCTTGTGCTTACTGAATCAGCAGAAAGTCTGCCTTCTGAGCCTCTGCTCTGCCTTCTGCATCCACAGTGCTGCAGGGTGTGGACAATTCGCTGGTGGGCCTGCACAACCAGAGCTTTGCCCGGGTCATGGAGCAGCGCCTGGCCCAGCTATTCATGATGTCCCAGCAACAAGGCCGGCGGTTTAAACGGGCCACCACCCTGGGAAGCTACACTGTGCAGGTAGGTGTATACAGAGCCACTGGGGTTTTCTAATAACTGGGGGTAGAGGGGGGGATGTGCTTCCTGAGACTAAATAAGTCAGTGTGCTCAGAGGAGCCTCCATGCTGCCAACTGACTAAGCCATTTTATCAAGGCTGCTCTTAGGTTTTGGGAACTGACGGTCATAACCATCAAAAACATGAAGGAGGGTGAGAGTTTGCTGCTCTTCCGACATTGTCACTAACTAGGTTATAACACAAGGAAGTCTCGGTACAAAATCTGTACTCATGCAGATATTTTTGAAACAAAAAATTCTTGGTAAGCAAGGACAGACTCATCATCAGCTTGTTCAGTAAGCTCAATGAAGTCCCAGCTCTCTGTCCTTTTAGACCCTCTCACCTCCATTCCTCTGAATAGCAGATGCACCATTATTCCAGAGACAGGATTCTGTTACCTGTATGTAGTCAGTTTCAACAAACAGAACCCTCCAAGCTTATAGTGGACACCTGGCCACGTAGAGATTTAGGCTGGAGGAATGTAGCAGACACTAGCTGTATCCAGCCCACATCCCCTTACCATTTTTGTGCATTCCAGTTGGAGTTCCAACAGCCAGCCTCTGAATCTTTTTCAGAGGGCTTACTTTTGAGATGTCAAAACCTGCTTTGCCCATGCCATGCTGGTTGGAAGTGCCTGAGAATTACCAGTATTATAAATACCCTGGTTCTCTTGGCTGGGAGAATTCTGAAATGTATGTTTTAGATCATTTTCAGAGCTTTCCCACAGAATTAAGCTTTAGTCATTGACTGCAGTAACTGGCTTAATAACGCATCCCTTGTAGGCTCCTTCCCATTCTTGTATTACCTCCTCACCCTCCTGCCAGTTCGTTGCACCTCTCAGATAAACTAGAAGCGCTCAGCTCTTCTCAGGGTCTACTTCTGAGGGCACCCAATCAAGGCAGTAGCCATCCCCAGGAGTAGAGATTCTAAACCTTTCTAGAAACTTTAGCCAGTTCCTGCAAGAATGGGAGCCTCTCTGGTGTATTCTAGCCAGGTCTGCTTATCTTGAATTGCACTGTCACCACTGAGAACTCATGTCTAACATTTGTTGTGCTAATTAACAAAGCTCTGTTGAGCATGATGTCAAATTAGAGAAGCACTCCTGGTAGCTGCCTCTGGAGTGGGGACTTCCTACCTGGAATTGAGCAGACTACCCCTGGCATGTGAACCCCTGATTGATGATTGACCACATCTCGGGTGTAACTGAACCATAGCACACATGCATAGTATCACACTGTCTAAGAGTAAGCATTTTAAGGGAAATTGCAGCCATTAGCATAGTCTGTGTGCAAATCCTGTCTCCAGGCAATCTTGAAAGTATAGACAACCCATCTTAATGAACACACTTCCCCGCATGAGTCATCATCATGCCCCTGATGGAGACTCCAGGTCCCTCCATTCGCAGTTGGTGAATTTGGCCGTTTGTCCTATTGGATGTTGCTTTGGTTCTAAAAGTCTCTGTGGTCTGAGATGACCTTACCACGAGGTAAAGCGGTGGTTAAGCTTGCGTGTCAGGTTTGTGATTTCTCCTTTGTAGGTTCCATGTGAGCTCTATAATTTCCACTTTTCCAAATGACAGGAAGAAAGTCACTGGTGCTCAGATAATGGAACTGGGATTTGCATCAGCCAAAGGGGGAGAAGGGGCCACCCTACAACCCTGGTGTTATTTGTAAACCTAAGAAACCTAACACATTTTGCATGCCAAAGGGCCCAGAGAGGTGTTCTTTCTCTCTCTCTCTCTCTCTTTTTTTTTTTTTTTGAGACGGAGTCTCACTCTGTCATCCAGGCTGGAGTGCAGTGGCACAATATTGGCACACTGCAACCTCCGCCTCCCGGGTCCAAGCGATTCTCCTGCCTCAGCCTCCCGAATAGCTGGGATTACAGGTGCGCACTGCCATGCCTAGCTAGTTTTTGTATTTTTAGTAGAGTTGGGATTTCACCATGTTGTTCAGGCTGGTCTCAAACTCCTGACCTCATGATCCACCCACCTCAGCCTCCCAAAGTGCTGGGATTACAGGTGTGAGCCACCACGTCCAGCCTTCTCTCATTTCTTCTAAGAGCTCAGTGCACTTGGCCCCTTTAGCTGCCTGGAAAGTCTGAGGGAAGCGGGTGGGGGTTTATTTCTGCAAATCCCTGATTTACAGAGGGTGTAGATCACCTTGTAACATACCCTTAAGGAAATCTTGGCAGGAGGAATTTGCTATTAAGTTGAAACTGAGAGAAACTATTAGATATTTGAATGGTCATTCAACTTCTACCAGATTCTACTAACACTTTCCCCACCTCCTTTCCCACTAGGGAAAGGAATAACATGCCCCAGTTTCCCCCAAAAAATTCACTCTACGTGGGTTACAATATCCTTCTACCCTGAGGCCTTTCTTCTAGGCTTAGATCATTTTAAAAGATGAGCTACCTTCATGAATATGGAGATTTAACTGTCTAGAATCTAAAGATATTTCTTAAGTTGACATATTTGAAAAATTGAGGCCTAAGAGAAAACATGTGACCACTAAAAATTTTTAAATATTTGACTTAATTTGTAATCGAAGTAAGGCAAGTTTTAACTACCACAAGATGCCATTTTCACCTACCAAAGATTAGTAAAATACTAAGATCCAGTATTGATGAGTGTGGAGCGAAAAGGGCACTTTCAAACAGAGCAACTGGGTATGATTTTTCTGGAGGAATTTAGACAAGAAACTCTTAGATGATCACAAACTGACTCCTAGAAATTCATCTCGACCAGGCACAGTGGCTCACGCCTGTAATCCCAGCACTTTGGGAGGCCAAGGCAGGTGGATCACAAGGTCAAGAGATGGAGACCATTCTGGCTAACATGGTGAAACTCCGTCTCTACTAAAAATACAAAAATTAGCTGGGCATGGTGGTGCACACTTGTACTCCCAGCTACTCGGGAGGCTGAAGCAGGAGAATTGCTTGAACCCAGGAGGTGGAGGTTGCAGTTAGCTGAGATTGCACCCCTGCACTGCAGCCTGGTGACAGAGCGAGACTCTGTGGTGACAGAGCAAGACTGTCTCAAAAGAGAAAAGAAAAGAAATTCATCTTGAGGACAAGGACACACAGGTGAACACAAAGACAAAAGAGTGAGGATAGTGTTTTCCGGAGAGTGTCTAGAAAGTGATTAGGCCGTTCTTGCATTGCTATAAAGAAATATCTGAGACTGAGTACTTTATAAGAAAAGAGGTTTAACTGGCTCATGGTTCTGCAGGCTGTACAGGAAGCATAGTGTTAGCATCTGCTTCTGGAAAGGCCTAAGGAAGCTTCAAGCATGGCAGAAGATGAAGGCGGAGCAGGTCTCACATGGCAGGAGTAGAAGCAAGAAAGAGGGTGGGGGGAGGCTCCACGCACATTAAACAACCAGATCTCACAAGAACTCATTCACTACTGCGAGGACAGCACCAAGCCATGAGGGAGCTGCCTCCATGACCCAAATACCTCCCACCGGGACCCACCTCCAACACTGGGATTACACAATTCAACATGAGATTTGGAGAGGACATGTATTCATACTATATCATGATCTTATCAAGTGTTCTTTTGAAAAGGGGCTCTCTGGCCAAATCGGTTTGGGCAAGGCTGCATCCTAAAGCCCCTTCTTGAAGAGTCCCAAAGCCTATTTGCATACCAAAGCTCTGAAAAGACCTGAAGTAAAGACATCTCCTTAATTTTCTTCAACATGCTGGTTTCCAAGTTTAAACGTCAAAAAGCCCTTGTTTTTAAGTAATATCTATATAGTCCCAACATTTTATTATGAACTTTTTTTTTTTTTTTGAGATAAAGTCTCGCTCTGTCGCCCAGGCTGGAGTGCAGTGGTGTGAGCTCAGCTCACTGCAACCTCCGCCTCCCAGGTTCAAGCGATTCTCCTGCCTCAGCCTCCTGAGTAGCTGGGAGTACAGGTGTGTGCCACCACGCCCAGCTAATTTTTGTATTTTTAGTAGAGATGGGGTTTTGCTATGTTAGTCAGGGTGGTCTCGAACTCCTGACTTCAAGTGATCTACCCACCTTGGCCTCTGAAAGTGCTGGGATTACAGACATGAGCCACTGTGCCTGGCCAACATTTTCAAACTTGTAGAAAAGTTGATAAAATTATAGTCAACACCCATATCACTATCTAGGTTCTACAATTGACATTATACTGTTACTATTTTATATTTGATTACATATATCATTTCCAAACACTTCCATAAGGTTTTCTTAACATATATTTTCATATACTTCTAAATCATAGATTGATTTTGACATTCTAGCATTTCATATAAATCGAATCCTACAGTACATACTCTTTTGTATAAAGCTTTTTTGACACAGTGTATTGTTTTGACATTCATCCATGTTGTTGTGTTATTCAGTAGTTTATTCAATTTTTTTGCTGAATAATATTCTCTTATATGAATATACTACAGTTTGTTTATCCATTCTTCTGTTGGTATACACCTGGGCTTTTCCAGTTTGTAGCTATTAAGCAAGGCTGCTGTGAACATTCTTCCACAAGTCCTTTGGTGACCACATGGCTTTCACTCATCTTAGTTATATAGGCTGGAATTGCTGGTTCTTAGGGTTGGTGTACATTAATTCTATAGGAAACTGCCAGACCTTTCTTCAAAGTGGTTGCACCATTTGCACTCCCACCAAACAGACAGGTGTTCCAGTTGCTTCACTTCCTCATCAACACTTGGTGTTGTCAGTTCTTACTTTAGCCGTGCTGGTGGGTATAGAGTGGTCTCTTGTGGTTTCAATTTGAATTTCCCCATTGAGCATTTTTATGTGCTAATTGGTTATTCAGACATCTTCCTTTGTGAAGTGTCTGATCAGCTCTTTTGCCCATTTTCTATTGGGTTGTAATAATATCTTTTTTAATTGTTATGTATAGCATATACACAAAACAGTATAAGAAAGATGCAGAATTTAAAGGACACTAATAAAAAGAATCCACAACCTGAAGGGTAAGAACATTACCCTTACCTTATCCCAATAGCCTTTTATATGTCTTCTCTGATTGTACTCCCTTCTTCCCTCTTCAGAGTTTAGAGTGAATCTGAATTTTGTATTAAATCATTCCCATATTTTTTGTATAGATTTTACCATCCACGCCTGTATCTCTAAATAGTATATTATGTAGTTTTGCTTAACTTTTAACTTTATATTTTGTGATTTGTTCCTTTTGCTCAACATCAGGCTTTTGTATTCATCCATAATGATACAAATAGCCATAGTTTATTCATTTTCACCACTACACTATAGTATGTCATCATGTGAGTATACAGTAGCTCATTATCCAACCAATTATTAACAACTTTTGAATTTTTAGTCTTTTTACTGTTATAAACAATGTTGCTATAAACATTTTTGTAAAGTCTTTTAATATCCTGTGAAACTCATAATCTGTAATATAAACTTTGGAAAATACTATATACTATTTATGATTTGTCCATTATAACTGCAAAAAGTTGATAACCAATGTTCGATAATCAAGGGTTAGTTTGATTTACCAGGCATGCGTACTGTAGAACACTATGTAGGTATTAAAACTTAAGTTTTAGTATTTATGATTATCAATTGTTAATTACAGTAGTAAAAAATTAGTAACAGTCTAAATGCTTAATAAAGGATTGTTTAAATAAGTTTATGAGGTATGCATCAGAATGCCATGTAAAAATAAACGTTTATGCTTTTGTTATATTTAAGGTCCTTTAAAGATGCAAGTAAAAATTGCAAAATATTGTATATAGACTATGACAAATAATTTTGTAAACTAATAAGGAAAAGGGTTGTGTGGGCAAAAACGAAGAATGGAAGCAAATACTCTATAATGGCAACAGTAATTAGCTTGTGATAGAAGGATTACAGATTGTTTTTATTTTATTTCTTGATGTTTTTCCATATTTTCAAATTTTCCTATAGTGAATATGTATAACTTTTAGGTAAAAAAAAAAAAAAAGCAAAACCGTTATTTTAGAAAAAGAACATTGGGTTTCCAAGTAGTGTTTTTATCAGAGATCTTTTGAATTGCAGACATATAAGTTAATTTTTCTCCCTTTCTGGCAATTACAGACATTTGAATTTAACAGTCGTGTTTGAGAATAACCTAACATGCCCTGAATTAAATGCAGAGGCCTATTTTCAAATGAGGCCAGAGTTCTGTGGATGCTGGGAGACATCACTATCCTGTGTTTTCTTCTCCAACCACAAACTGTTCTTTCCAGATGTTCGTATTTTTCAAACCTTTTTTCTCCTCCCAGTCTCCTGCTCCAGCGAGAGCAGGCTTCTTGAGAGGCTGGATATAGGGAGGTATGTGAAGGTTGGCGTCTAGCCACAGAAGTCTTCAGCAGTCAGGAGAGGAACATCTGCTGATCACCTGGGTGATTGCAGGGTCCATGCAAAATGCCCTGCAAACACTCGGCCTCTCTTTTTCCGAAAGATGGTGAAGATGCAGCGTGTCCCAGGCCCGAAGGACCCAGCGGAGCTGACTTACTATACCCTGTACAACGGGAAGCCTTTGTTGGGGACCGCAGCTGCCAAGATCCTGAGCACCATTGATTCCCAAAGGATGGCCTTGACCCTTCATCACGTTGTCCTTCTGCAAGCTGACCGTAAGGGAATGGTCTTTTTATTCAGTCTTTTTAATGCCATTAAATGTTTCCTGAAAATCAAAATGATTCCCCAAAATCATGTTAATGGTCTCAGAGCTAAACATATTTGTATTCTGGAAGGTTCTTAAATCAATCAGCTATGTTTCTGTGTTGTTTCAAGCAATAAGGGATATGTTTTAGATACTGGAAGGATGGTAATGATATTACTTTGCCCCCAAGTCCTACCCACCCTTCTTCCTCAGCATAATCTAGTGAACAGCTATGAAAATCACTATAGCTGAGATTATTTTTGTATGCCAGGGGAATTAAAGATAATCTGATTCAACAAACATTTGTAAAGTTCTACATGAAGTCGCTTAGTGCTGGAGGATGTATGGAAGTGGGCGAGACCTGGCTCCTGCCCTTAAGGAGCAGGGAGACTTAATGCAGGTGCAGTGGCACACAACATAGGAAAGTGCTGTAAAAGGCAGTGTGTGTTAGGGGGTCAGCAGAGGGAGGGTTTGCTTCGAAGGGGCATCTGGAAAGAGTGAGCAGAGGAAGGATGTTAAAAATAATAGCTGTCTCTTTGAATACCCTCCCTTGTGGCAGCTGCTATGCGAGTTACTTCACCTAGATTTTCTCACTTTCTGTTCTCATTGGGGCAGTGTTTACTCAGATCTAAACCACAGGAAAGGAAACTGAGGCTCAGAAAAATGAAATAACCTGCTCGGCATCACAGAACAAGTGCTTAGGTGGCCCGGATATTAATCTAGATCTGTCTGACTTTGAACCTGTGTTCTTAACTATATGACACGTGAAGATTTCAGCAGAGGGAGAAGAAGGTGTGTGTATTCCAGAAAGAGAGGGCAGCATGAGCGAAAGAATGGAGGTGAAAAGTACCAAGTGTGCTTGAAAAATGAGTTCAGATTGCCTGGGGTGCTGACACCCATGGAAGAGTTAAGGGAATTGGAAAGGTGTATTGATCCGGAGACTAAGGCCTTGAATGACAGGGAAGGAGATAGTACACACTCTGATCAGCTGTGGGGTGCTGATGAAGATTTCTGAGCTAAGGAGTAATATCATTGGAACTGCCCATTTTTAGGAAGCTTAATTGGTCAGCAGTGTCTAGGATGGGAGCAGACAGGAAGTGGCAGGACTGGTGAGGAGGCTCTGTGGCGTCCCAGGCATTGGGAACCCAAACAAAAGCTATAAAGAGAGTGGGGGAAGGGGAAAGGGTATGAAGGTGAGAGATTAGGTGGTAGAAATTTTAGTATTTGGCAGCATACTGAGCATGGAAGGCAGGAAAGGTCATCTCCTATGGGTTTGCTTTCCTAGCTCATGTCCGTGTTGCCTAAGTCCCTGACACCTGGCTCATGGTCTTCCTCTCCTGCTCAGCTCTTGTCTTTATCCAGTTGACTTTTGCTTCCAGGATGATGGTCCTGACCTTGTATTGTCTTGCTCGGCCGGCATATCCTCACAGACACAACTTTGTCTAGGAATGACGATGGTCACTCTCTGCAATCTTGTTTTTCAAAGTGACAATTTTAACCAAGATTCTTTTCCTTTGCACCTCTCCCCTTCCCTCCCTGTGGGCTCCGTCCTCATCTGCTCAACAGCTTGCTTCATCTGTTTTGCCGCATCCTCTTTATGTGGACTCCAGAGTTTTCTGTTCTCAGCTCTTTCTCCCTCTCTCCAGGTGAGGAATAAATCATAGAGGACAGGAGTGAAAACCACTGCAGGTGTCCAGGCGAGAGCTGAAGGTACTAAAAGTGGACATTCAGAGAAGTGAACAGATTTGGGATATTTCAGGGCACAGAGTCAACGGCGCAAGATAATGATTCTGTGTGTAGCCAGGGAAGGAAGCGGGGCTCAGAGGAATCAAGGATGACTCCTAGGTGCTGGCTTGAGCATTGGTTGTGGTGCCATTTGTTGAGATGCAGAAGGTGCAGGTCAAAGAGGATAAGTGGGGTTGGGATGGGAACAGGGGAGATGGAACTGGGAGTTTGGTTGTAGACGTGTTAGGTGTGAGATGTCTACTAGACATCCACGTGGATCTCAGAAGACATAAACTCAGGAATCATCAACATATAGGTGACATTTAGAGCTAAGGGAATAGGTGAGAATAACCAGGTGGGTTTAGCTAGAGAGAAAAGGGAAACTGAGCCCTGGGGAATCCACATATGGGAAGAGTGAGAGTGAGTAGAGGACACTGACCAGGAGCAGCCAGGGAGATGGGAGGAGAGTGTGGGGTTCAGAATGCAAGCAAGGACAGCAGATCTCACGGGAGGGAGAGAACTGCGTGTCGATTTATATTCCCAAGAGGCAGGGCATGACAGGGTAGAGATTAAGGGGATTGGAGGTTGTGACCTTAGCAGGAGTGGTTTTGCAACCAAATGGGCTGAGAAGAAGAACAAGGTGTGGGGAAGCAGTGACAGCAAAAGAGAGGAAATCTTCTGAGGCAGTTGCTGGAGGGGCTGTATGGCATTCCAGGCATTGAGAACCCAAACAAAAGCTAGAAAGCTTGAATTGGTGTGTGTTTGAATATTGAGAGGATGCTGTCATGGAGAGGGAGAAGCTGACAATGCAGAAGAGAGAGGCAGGAATTGTAGGTGCAAAATCTGTCAATGAATGAGGCAATGGGATCTGGTGCACGGGTGAAGGGGTCCGCAGGGACAGCTGGTCCTTTCTAATGAGGAGAAAGTGGAGTACGGGGGACACTTGGTGATGGAAGCTTGCGGACGCTGTCTCCGATTGTTTCTGCTCTCTTGGGTATAATGAAATGAAGTCGGCAGCTGAAATCGAGGTGTGTGGGGTGGATTTCAGCTGGGGTGTGTGGTAATACACACGGAGAATGGCAGAGCAAACTGCCCAAAAAGTGCCGGAAGATTGACAGGGCTCCGCTTCTCCTTAATCCTCATGGCTGTGTCCACACCACTTCTTCTCTTTTTCAATCCCAGGTCCTTTGAAGCTCCCCTTCCTCGCTGCAGTCACCTCAGGGCCCCAAGAGGCCCCCATCACTCACTGGAGATTTATGCACCTGGCTCAGTGTCTCTTCCTCTCTAACACTTCTGTTCCGGCCATCTGCCACTTTGGCCTGTCAGTTCCATGACAGTTCTATGATGGTCACTGTCTATAGTCTTATTCTCAAAATGACATTTTTAGCCAAGACTCGCTTCCTTCACTCCTCAAGGCCACCCCAGGCCTTGAGGTACTTGGGACGGGCATGAAAAGGAGAGCTGGCTTCATGGTGAGCAGCTGTGAATGGAGTGTCAGGAGGACCGGGTGAGGCTAAGGGACTTTGCTGGTGGCAGTTGATGGGAGCAGTGGACGGGGTCAGGGGCTAGGACAGGAGAGAGAGATCCTATCAGGTTAGACTCATGGAGGCTTTTCGGAGTGAGAGTCTGGGAGGTGAGGGATGGCCCCGGAGGCTCAGCTGTCACTCAAGAGAGTCGAGATTCAAACTCTGTTTGGCCAGGCTCCAAGGCTGCCACCCTCTGACCCTTCCAGCCTCACTCCTTTGTCTCCTTCAAATCCACTCAGTCCTCTCAGTTCCCTTCCACAGTCACTCACAAATCCATTTCCTTTTGTCCATCCCATCATTCTCTCCCACTTGGACCATGGCAGTAGCTTCCAAAGTGACTCAACCTCCCGTTAATGTGCCTTCTACATTGTAATTAGAGTCATTGTAATAAAACGTAGATTCTGATCTTACATTGACTCCATTTTAGAAAAATACTTGCTGGCTCCCATCATTCACAGAATAAAATCCAAACTCCTGTCTTCACAGCAGGTGCACCCAGCAAGCCTTCAGGACTGCACAGCTTGGTCTCAGGCTGCTTTTCCAGCCGTGTGGCCTGCGTTTCTCTCCTTCATATCTAAAGCCACATAGGGGTTTTCATCCTGCATGTTCCCTCTTCCTTGAAGCCTTCCTTGGCGCCTGAGGCACAGCCCTCTGTCTCCCTTGGTTCCAGGAGCTCCCATTGCCCTCCTCACATTGGGCCATAACAGTTGTTGTCTGTCTCTCTCCCTCATGAGCTCTTTAAAAGCAAGTGCCGCATCTCATTCATCTTGGAAGATCTAGCTCCAGTTCCTTCCTGGTTCTATTCTTGTGAAGGCAAAGGAACCACCCTTCACCAGATGCCTCTGCTAGGTGCCGAGAGAGGCATGTGGTTAGGAGACACCATAGCACTTGAGAGAAGAGCCTTTGAAATAAGGTAACCCAGGCCCAGCCCCTGCTCTTCCACTTTCTAGTTATGGAGCTTGGAGTCAAGTTAATTAGCCTCTCTGACCTTCATTTTCCCCACCTGTAAAATGGTAGTATAAAAACACCTCCCTAAGAGAGCTACATAGGAGATTAAAAGAGATAATTGTTGCCTGTAAAGGGCTTGGTGCAGTCCTGGGGCACCTGTTAAGCACATAGTAAGTGGCAGCTGAATCTCTCCGTCGGTATTCCAGCAACACCCGACAATATCCCACGGGCATCCCTGTGATATGTGTCATCATCCCCTTAAACTCCACACAGCTCAAACAATAAATTACCTTCTGCCTTCTAACAATGCCTCTCCTCTCCAGTCCCCTTTCCATCTTCATTAGTTGCACCCTCTTCTCTGTATTATATGGGTTCTTCTCAACCTTCAAATCTCCTTTCTTCTTCATTTCTCTCCTGTAGTCCTCTGGCCTCACGGATAAAGGAGATTCAGCTCCCACTTACTATGTGCTTAACAGGTGCCCCAGGACTGGGGACACTGATGGGATATCAAGGGTGTGATAGGATATCCTAGGAAGGTTAAGAAAGGTGTTGGGAATTCAAGCCTAGAACTCTGGAGAGAGAATCAAGGTAACGCTATAGACTTGAGGATTCTGTAGATAGAGATTAGAATTAAAATCCTGGGGAAAATATGAGTGCCTGGTGAAGGAACGTAGCTAGTGGATGGAAGAGGAAAGCAAGAGGATGTCCTCTGGGAAATATGTCCACCCCAGGAGCTGATGAGGACGAAGATAAGGCCAATGAAGGAGAAGAGGGCAGAGATCTTTAAAATCCCATTTTCTCCCAGTAGTTTCAAGATCAGCCTACAATGTTCATCTGAGGTCAGGACTTTGAATAGAGAGTCACAGTGTTGAATACTTTGTCTCTCTGAAGGGAGAGTTTCTGCATTCTGTGTGTTCCAGAGCCTTCTAAATCACTAATTCTAGGGCCAAGACTGGAGCATGCAGTGCCCACGTGACTCACCCCATCACCTCTGGGTGACAAGGCAGCATTTGACTTAGGCAGCTAGAGGTTTGCATCTGGTCCATTTGCAGGGTCTGGAGTGAGAGGCACTTCAGAGTTGTTATCCAGCTGATGGAATAGGGAAAATTCACCCCAAGGAGAAGCATACCAGAGCAGGAAGTGGTTTGCTTTACATGGCCACCAGACATTTATCTGAAAAGATGCCACTTGGCTGGGCGCAGTGGCTCACACCTATAATCCCAGCACTTTGGGAGGCTGAGGTGGGTGGATCACCTGAGGTCAGGAGTTTGAGACCAGCCTGGCTAACACGGAGAAACCCCGTCTCTACTAAAAATAAAAAAATTAGCTGGGCATGGTGGTGGGTGCGTGTAATCCCAGCTACTTGGGAGGCTGATGCACAAGAATGGCTTGAAACTGGGAAGCAGAGGTTGCAGTGAGCCGAGATCGTGCCATTACTCCAGGCTGGGGGACACAGTGAGATTCTGCCTCAAAAAAAAAAAAAAAAAAAAGAAAAGAAAAGAAAAAAAAAGCCACTTAAAGAAATAGGCTGACCCTCTGGTAAAGAGGACTCATGCTCATTCACTTTTTTAACAGATATTTATTGAGCACCTACTATGTGCAGGGCACTGCTCTGGGCACTGGAGATAGAGCAGTGAATGAAGTGGACAAAAATCCCTGCCCTCATGGAGCTTATGTTCTAGGGTGGGCAGATCAAAGAAACTAAATAAATAAGTAACATGTTTGACGCTAATTAGTGCTATGGAGAAAATTGGGCAGGGAAGGGCTAGGGCATGTTGAGAAGATAGTGGTTGCAATTTTAAATTGTTGGGGGGTCAAGAAGAGAATCACTGAGGAAGTAACCCTTGAGTGACCACCTGAAGAAAGGGAGGGAGGCAAGGGTCCCTGAGGATATCTGGGGGCCAGGTTCCAGGCAGGGAGAAGACAGTCTGACACCTAGCATCGAGGTCATTGAGGGAGCAGAGTCGTAGCTGTGAGGTCAGAGGCACAGAAGAGCGGCCATGGTCACTAGGGCCTCACGGGCTGGGACCCCACTGGGAAGAGAAGCCACAGGAGGGTTTGGTGGGAGAACCACGTGGACTGAGCACTAGCCATCCACTGGACCCTGGGAGGACTCTCCCCTGCATCCAGTCACCCCAGTTATGAGCTCTAATATTTGAGACATAGGTGACGGCCACAAAAACAAACTGGAAACACTTGAATGGATGCCTTCTCCTTTCAACATTTGCTGTACGTGAGAATAATTTATTTTGTATTAGATTATTTGGACTGTTTGACTTCATTCCTTCTGACAAATTGTGTGTGTGTGTGTGTGTGTGTGTGTGTGTGTGTTTACGCTTGCACATAAGCACACACTTCTATTCATGTGTGTTAACTCGGAACCGACTTTAACTGTTTATTTCAGAGAAGTGACTTTTCATAGAAACGTTTGACCTCTCTGGGTCTCAGTTTCCTCATCAGCATATTGGGGATGAGAAAAGCATGCAGGCTAAGGACCTATCACAGCGCCTAACACACAGTAGGCACTCGGGAAATGGGTTTTCCTATCAGTCCTCTACTGAAATTCTTGCAATTTAAATAACCCTTCATTCCTTTTCACCTTTAGGCATGACTTTGTACTTTTAGGTAATTACGCCAATGAACACAACATTGAGTTTGGATGACTTCAGTTGACCTAACTTTACTCTTGTTTTGACTGTTAAATGAATTTATTAATGTGTCCAAGATAAAATCTGTTCTGTTTATGTAAATGAAGGTGAGGGGATTTTACATACTGCACCAAGAAGAAGCACCTCCACTAAAACAATAAAACTGGGTAAAAGCTGAACATTCTTGCTAATAAAAAAAAGCATGTATTTATTTAGGGTATACACTGATATACTGTACATTTTTCTCCATCAGGATAAAATAATGATAAAGAGGCATACAGATATTTTTCACAGAAGCTATAAGCTCTATGTTAATGACAGAATACTCACATATAAATACTGAATTACTAAAAGCAGGAGCAATTAAGTGTTTAATGTCAACAGAAACATATTATCTAATGAGCTGTTTTCAGAAGTTAATAATGTGATTAATCACCGATTGATAAAAACTGTGGAGAAGAAGCTCTTCTGTACTAATAGTATTCTGAGCCTAAGGGCAGCCAAATGAGAGGTAGATCTTGGCTAATGAGGAACCACTTGATGTCAGGGCTTGGTTGAAATCAGAGAGGAAGACTGGCTGGCTCCTCAGGCAGGTCTCACCACGTGGCACTTACTGGTGGAATGTTCATATTCTAGGGTCTGGGCCTCAGTTTTGCCTAGTAGCCCCCAAGTTCAGCAGGATCAGGAGGACCAACTCATGCTAACCAGGCTTACAAGAGTTTGATGTATAAACTAGATTGCCAATATATTAATTTAAACTACAGACCAAACCTACCATGGAGAAGGAACTTCTCCTTTTAACTTGTCAATACTTTTTCCTGTCTCAAGTAAATCATAGGATGAGCTTTGGCAAATGTATACACCCATGTAACCCAACTCTCTATCATACTACAGAGCATGACCATCACCCTGTTGCCCTTTCCAGTTAATTCATCCCAGCCCCCTTGCCCTGAGACACCTACTGTTTTAATAGCACATTCTTCCTGCTGCCACTCACTTTGGTTGCTCTTCTTTACTCTGGTTCTGAGAACAGCCTGAGTCTTTTGACTAGACCGAGGCATTTCCAAGCTCCCAGCCAGCTATTCTGGGGGAGATCCATCTGCTCATGTTACATTTTACTCGTTGCTCACTCTCAGGGTGACTACACTACAATATTGAGAGTCATTTCTCTGTGGCTTTTGCCTCTTGATTCCAGCACACATTTCTAATCTGCACATTTCTCAGCTTCACTTTTCTTTTGACTTGTGGATGTCACCCCTGGGGAAAATTGTTACTGATCCATCTTTTTCTCCTCTTCCTCTCAGTAGTAGTGAACTCTAGCATTTACTGAGCAACTACTAGAGACCACACCAAAAACACTACAAAGTGACAGCCCATTTTACAGATGAGGAAACTGAGACTCAGGGAGCTTAAGCCACTTGCCCAAGGTCACACAGCTGCGGAGGTGGAGGCTTTCTAACCCCAAACCCTCTTAACCTCCCACGTCCTTCTGTCCAGGACTTGGGACTGGGGTGGGGGGTTATGTCTGGGTTGCTTTCCTCTTCCCAGTGTTGCTTGTCATGTCCCTCCTGCTGGCTCTTTCCCACAGCCGTGGTGAAGAACCCGCCCAATAACCTGTGGATCATCGCTGCAGTGCTGGCGCCCATTGCCGTGGTCACGGTCATCATCATCATCATCACTGCCGTGCTCTGCAGGAAGAACAAGAACGACTTCAAGCCTGACACCATGATAAACCTGCCGCAGAGAGCAAAGGTATATGGAAGTGGTGGGGAGAGGGGCAGGAGGACAGGCCTGCAGGAGCTCAGCCTGCCTTTCCCTCTTGCCTTTTGAGGCCATTGCCAGAGCCTGCAGAAACATCAGGGCAGGTCCTCATTTTGAAGGAGATCCTTCCTTTTAGTCTCAGGACCTGATGGTTTGTGGTTATCTGATGCCCATTCGGCCATCAGTGCTTCCAAGTGTTTTATATACAGCAGCTCTCTAATTCTCACAGCTGCCCTTGGAGGAAGTACTATTATTTTACAGATGAGGAAACCGAGGCATAGAAAACTACAAGCTAAAGAGACATGAAAGGGATTTTAGAGATAATGTAATCAGACTCCCTCCTTTCACCCATGAAAAGTAACTCTTTCAAGGTCATATGGTTGGTAAGTAGCAGAACTGATGGTAGAATAAGGTCTGCTATGTTCTGAACGTTGTGGTCCACAGATTTATATGTTGAAATTCTGACCCCCAATATGATGGTATTAGGAGATAGGGCCTTTGGGAGGAGATTAGGTCATGAGGGTGAAACCTCCAGGAATGAGATTAATGCCCTTAGAAAGGAGGCCCTAGAGAGCTCTCTTCCATGTGAAGACACAAGACATTGGCAGCCTGCAGCCCAGAAGAGGTCCCTCACCTCTGACCATCCTGGCACCTTGATCTTGGACTTCTCAGCCTCCAGAGTTGTGAGAAATAAACTTCTGTCATTTACAGGCCACCCAGTCTGTGATATTTTGTTACAACAGCCCGAACTGACTTAGACAAAGTCTCTTGGCTCCTAATGCAAGGCTCTCTGGAGCACATGCTTGGTTGGAGTGACATCTTCAGAGGCCACCATGATGGAGAAGCTGCAGGGCTTTGGCTGGGTGGCCAGAAAACCCCCGTTCAGTGGCTCCACTGAAGCCTGTCCTGGGGCCCCATCCACCCACTGCGGCCTCCACATCTCTGCACCACTCACCTCCAGTGACTGGGAAAGAAATGGACTAGGACATGCTGCAGGATGATTTTCTGGTCACCTTGCTCCCTTCATGATATTCCATGAGGGAAATATACTAACTGTCATACCTGATGCTTAAATAATGCCTTACAATTTGCTGGGCTCCTCGAGGACTATCACCTCGTTTGTTCATCACAGCAGCCTTATGAGGTAGCTCGTAGTCAGGGAAGGTTTTATTATCCTCATTTTACTGCCAAAACACTCAAGGGAAAGAGAGACTTTGGGGTTTGTCCAAAGTCATGCTAGCAGCAGAGGGGTGACTGAGGCTCACATCTGAGTCTTAGAGCATTTTCGCCATTATACACCTACCTGAACCCTGAGATTTGGCAGGTAGAATCCTCTTCCAGCTCTGAAGATCTGAGCTTTGTCTACCAGTGCAGGAATGAAATAGTGAGGCAACGCCTCACATTCCAGAGCCATTGGAATGCATGTCGGCCATGGAGATCGTCCTTGCGGGGGTCACGCATGCCTTAGTTCTTTCTTGATGATCACACCTCACTTCAGCAAAAGAAATCAAAGGATTTTTATTGTTTGTTAAACTGATACACCTGTTTTGATGCTGCAGCTCGTTTAGATACTGTCTACTGAAGAGCCAAATGCCAAAGCGAGTTGTTCTGTTTCAGTTGACACAAAGGCACCTGCTTCCCAGACACAGCAGGATGTTGGTAATAAGTGTACATTGGGAATTGCCCAAGCAGTGAAAGGTGAAACTCTTCCAAGAGTGTGCATTTTGGCCGGGCGCGGTGGCTCACGCCTGTAATCCCAGCATTTTGGGAGGCCGAGGCGGGCGGATCACCTGAGATCAGGAGTTTGAGACTAGCCTGACCAACATGGAGAAACCTCATCTCTACTAAAAATACAAAATTAGCTGGGTGTGGTGGCGCACACCTGTAATCCAAGCTACTCAGGAGGCTGAGGCAGGAGAATTGCTTGAACCTGGGAGGCAGAGGTTGCAGTGACCCAAGATCACACCGTTGCACTCTAGCCTGGGCAACAAGAGCAAAACTCCGTCTCAAAAAATAAAAAAATAAAAAATAAAAAGAGTGTGTATTTCATCTTCATCTCAGCTTAGTTACAACATGAGCCTTTTAGACATAATGGTAATAACCAGAATCTAACTGTACCCACATCCAGGAATACAAAACATGCCATACTGAGATTGTAAGGGGGCATATTTATGTTATAGATTAAACCAAAATTGTACTAATCTGCCAAAATGAGTTGGGCAACACATGATTTCCACATAGCTTCTGGCTGGAAGGCTGTCTGAAGCTAGGACAGATTAGCGTTTGTGGTTTTCCATAGCTCCTTCTGCGTCCTACTCTGTATATTGGGCTTTGTGAGATACCTGGCTGACATTGAACATCAAGCAAATTTATGTTCCATGAGTTGATTGAATTCACTTGTGTGCGGTGGAGCTGGTTGTTTTCCCCCTCCATGAGGCTGGGCTACATATTTTGATTCCCAAAGCCCTTTTATCATGGGAAACCAGCAGGGTGGAACTGCCTCCTGCTTACTGCAGTTCTTCTGCTGTTACAACCCAGGGACACTGCAGTGTTGGAGAGAGGAGAGAGCTTCCTGCATCACTTCTCACCACCTTGTGTGTGTGAACAGAATTCAATTATTGTCAAAGGACGAGGCAGAACAAAAAAGTTAGCCTTCACCGCCAAGCCTTAGACTAGGAGGACAGTCCTGGGGACATCGCTGCATCTTTACAATTCAGGCTACAGTGCCAGAGGGCACTCCCGGGGATCCTTCTTGAGACTCAGTAATAAACTTAACATGCTAAGCAGAGGAGGTGAGTGTGGCTTTCCCGGGAGCCGAGACCAGAGTATGGATACCCTTACCCTTCTTCAGAGACAAGGTACCATGGACTACCCCATTCCCATTGTTATCAGGTGGGCTTCTGCAGGTAGAATGGTGAAAAATGATAAATGCAAGAGGGCCAGCATCATGACTTTTGTCACCTCCTTTCTTCCTAGTTCACTTCCCTTTACTCTGTCATTGGATGTACAGCCATTTTTCTAGTTTTTCCCTTCATAGAATTGAAGAGATCACGTTTCCCTGGAAGAGGCCACCTTAGAAGAGGGTGGATAGGACTATATCCAGATGCAGGATGGAGCTTGGAGGGTCTGTAATCTTTTGCATGAACATCTGCTTGGGACAGGCCAGTCACCCCCTAAGAACAGCCAACTGTTTCCTCTTTCCCACTACTATCTGTAGGATACTATCTATAGGATACCTATAGGATAACTTACCCAGCTCTGTGAGCCTGGGTAAGCTGCTTAACCTCTCTAAACCTCAGTTGCTTTATCTGTAAACTGGGAACTCATGATAATACCTACCTTCTTGAACTATAGTGAAGATGCAATGAGAAAAGTTATGTACTGTGTTTAGTACTGTGCCATTGATATCAAATGAGGCTGAAACTGAGCCCCTTGAGGGTGAGGAACCAGTTATTTAACTTTATATGTTCAGCACCAAAGACAGTCCCTGTCGTTGGAACAACAATAGGAAAGTTACTTAACCTCTGTGCCTCAATTTTTCCATCTGTAAAATGGAGATATAACAATAATCGTATAGAGTGTTGTGAGGATTAAGTTAATATATATACATCACTTTGAGATATGTCTAGTATATAATAAATACTACCTATAAGTTGGCTTTTATTGTTACCCATGCTTTTTTTCTTAAAAGGTCTTGGCAGTGTATCCGCCATTGAAATTACTGGAGATTATTTTGATTTGATAATTTTATAAAACGAATTGAAGTAACTATAGCTACTTCATGATATTTTATTATTGGGGTTAGGAGTCACTAATGTGTCTAATGGGCAGTTGATTAATCTCAGGTAATTTTCCAGTTGAAAGCTAAAAGACCGCTACCCTGGGAGTCAGAAGAGTGAGGGAGTAGTAGTCCTGCGCCACTTAGCTGTGTGATCTTGGGCAAGTCACTGAACCTCTCTGAGCTTTTGTTTTCTTATCTGTGAAATGAAGGCTGTAATGTTTGCCTTGCTTACCTCACAGGTTTGTTGGAGGATGAGATGAGATAACAGTGTTTTGCATGCTGTAAGTACCAAACATACACAGGGATTGTTGTGATTAACAACACAGGTGTAATTAACCTAATAACAATGGGAACCTTTTAAGCTTGGAATTCCTTAATGTCTCTCTTTGTGTATATCCATCATTGACCCAATCACCTGAAGTATCCAGTGGATAACTTTAACCCTGTGTGAAAGGTAAGGGGCCAAATCCAGAGGGAGGAGAGAGAAAGTGGGAGATGGGACCAGAGCCAGCTTTCCCTATCATTAGGTTCTTGGGAAGTCTTAGCTGCTGTTGGAGCCTCCCACTTCCTCACAGACAGGCCAGGAGTGTTGCATAGGAGCCAGGCCATGTACGGCAGGAGATGCTAACCAAGATAGGAAGCTGCAGAAGGAAAGGAAGGGCTGTGGGAAGACTCATCAAATCGTGGTTAGATGTTCCAGCTCTGTGTCACATAGTCCTAGGTTCAAATGCTGACTCCATCACAGCTCTGTGAGCCTGCGTAAGCTGCTTAACCTCTCTGAACCTCAGTTGCTTCATCTGTAAACTGGGAACTCATGATAATACCTACCTTCTTGAACTATAGTGAAGATGCAATGATATAAGTTGTATACTGTCTTTAGTACTGTGCCATTAATATCAAATGAAGCTGAAACTGAGCCGCTTGAGGGTGAGGAACCAGTTATTTAACTTTATATGTTCAGCACCAAGGACAGTCCCTATCGTTGGAACAAAACTGAATAGGATAATGGGGGCGTGAGGGTGTGGTACAAAAGGGGTCAACAGGACATGAAACTGGGCAGGCAGGTTCAGCTGGCATGTGAAGGGCTTTGAATGCCTTGCCAAAGCATTTGGGGAGACATTCAAGGCCCTTCATATTTTAAATGAGAGTGACGCAACCACATGTGTTTTAAGGGAGATAATTTTGGAAGCTCATCGGGGAGGCCTGGAAAGGAGCTAAATTGGAAGCAACGAGACCGAGGCAGGAAATAGTGAAACAGTGGACCTGGGGAGGAAAAGTCAGCTTCCAGAAACATTTCAGACGTTGAATCTAATTGGTGACCAATTGATTATGGAAGGAGCAGGCAATTCAGTATTTGAGAGACATTACCAAGTTATCTGAAGGCTTGCTTCTGTTTCTTATAGGCCAAGGACAGGGAAGGAAAAGAACAGAGACCACCTTCCCTCAGCAAACCCTATTTCAGAAACGCAGTTCCAGGTCCTGGCCTCAGAATGTCACTGATCACCACATAGGTCAGAGTGTATGTCTCAGAGAAGAGAAGGGGGTGATTATACTTCCCAGAGTGAGTTTCTCAGGGAACTGGGGGAGCTGTCCATGGCAAAGCTATAGACAGCCTCAAATAAAAAAGCCATGTTGGAGTTAGCAATAAAACTCCATCCTGTTCTGAGACACAGTGGTGAGATTTGACAGGTTAGGCCACAGTTCTAGACTGGATTGTTAAATCCGCTGGAACCTTCCTGTTGTATCTCTGGCTAAATTAGCTGCTGAAATTTACAAGAAAAAAACAACCCTATCAAAAAGTGGGCGAAGGATATGAACAGACACTTCTCAAAAGAAGACATTTATGCAGCCAAAAGACACATGAAAAAATGCTCATCATCACTGGCCATCAGAGAAATGCAAATCAAAACCACAATGAGATATCATCTCACACCAGTTAGAATGGCGATCATTAAAAAGTCAGGAAACAACAGGTGCTGGAGAGGATATGGAGAAATAGGAACACTTTTACACCGTTGGTGGGACTGTAAACTAGTTCAACCATTGTGGAAGTCGGTGTGGCGATTCCTCAGGGATATAGAACTAGAAATACCATTTGACCCAGCCATCCCCATTACTGGGTATATACCCAAAGGATTATAAATGATGCTGCTATAAAGACACATGCATACGTATGTTTATTGCGGCACTATTCACAATAGCAAAGACTTGGAACCAACCCAAATGTCCAACAATGATAGACTGGAATAAGAAAATGGGCACATATACACCATGGAATACTATGCAGCCATAAAAAATGAAGAGTTCATGTCCTTTGTAGGGACATGGATGAAGCTGGAAACCATCATTCTCAGCAAACTATCGCAAGGACAAAAAACCAAGCACCGCATGTTCTCACTCATAGGTGGGAATTGAACAATGAGAACACTTGGACACAGGAAGGGAGACATCACACACCAGGGCCTGTTGTGGGGTGGGGGAGGTGGGAGGGATAGCATTAGGAGGATATACCTAATGTTAAATGACAAGTTAATGGGTGCAGCACACCAACGTGGCACATGTATACATATGTAACCTGCATGTTTTGCACATGTACCCTAAAACTTAAAGTATAATAAAAATTAGCTGCTGAAGGAGGGGCTTCTGATCATATCAAGTTCTGATATACTCTAAATGACAGAGCTTGAATTTCATCTGCAGATTTTCTTGAAAAAAATCACTGCTGTCCATTTCACCTGGACTATGATTTATCAGGAAAGCAAAAGTAATAACTAATATTGATTGAGCACTTACTATTGGCTAGGCACTTATCTAAATGCTGAACTTGAATTTCTTATTTAATCCTTACAGCATCCCCTTAAAAGTGGTTACATGTTGCTCTCACAAACATATAAATTGTATCATGTTTATACTATCTCCAATTAACATAATAACAATGGCCATCTTTTAAGCTTGATGAAGAAACTGATGAGCAGAGAGTTGCAGTAACTTACCCAAGGTCACACAGCTAATGAATGACGGAGTCGGGATTTGAACCCAAGCAATCTGCTTTTGAAACTGCCACTTTTACCCACCACACTGTCCTGCCTCAAATCTGTATTGTACTGCTTTGGGGTGTAAAGCAAAATAGAGACACTTTCAGGAATTGTTTAAATATGCGTCTTGGTTTTCATTACCACACTACTAGATGTCTGTTGGATTTTGCTCAGAGCTGCCTTATGCACTTGGGATTTCAGATGCTGTGCAATAAAACTTTGCCAGTTTCCCAGGAATGCATTATAGGAGAGCCAGCCTACTTAAGGGCGAAGTCTGGATTAAAGAGTGACTCCATAAATTCCATTTCATTATTAATGATTGTACGGCTTCACATGTGATAACACACTTCCCTCTGTGTTCAGATCTGTGATCCACTTTAATACTCAAGGGTGGTAGAAGTAAAGCAGATAAGATTATCTTCAGTTCTCAGATGAAAAAATTGAGGTTCAGAGTTCAAGTGGCTTGGCAAAGTCACACATGTGCTATTACACATAAAGCTATACGAGAATGGAGTGAAGAGGTGACCAAACATTTCTAGGCAGGAGGTGATCCACAGGACCTGTTTAATGTATTAATTGAGTTGTTTCTCATTTGCAGCATCCATTGACTTAAAATTCATGGTCTAAAATCTTTGAAAGAGGTTTGATCTTAAACACCTGTTTACATGTTGTTTACAGTCTTCATTTTTCTGAGCAAGTCTTATCTGTAGAGATTCTGTAGCTGGATGGAATTAACATGGATTCTGATTTTGAAGAGACGGAAATAATGATGGGGATTTGAGTTAACTCTTGTTTATTAATTAGAAAGCTAAGTTTGGTCCCATCTTTTTGCTGCCTGTCATCTCTTAAAGCCATGGTTAGAGTCACACTTCGCTAGAAATACGACTGCAAATCTGTTTCCTCTTTGCAGCCTGTGCAAGGCTTTGATTATGCCAAGCAACACCTGGGCCAGCAAGGGGCAGATGAGGAGGTCATCCCTGTGACTCAGGAGACAGTGGTTCTCCCACTGCCCATTAGAGATGCTCCTCAGGAAAGAGACGTCGCTCAGGATGGAAGCACCATCAAGACCGCCAAATCCACTGAAACCAGGAAGAGGTAGGCACGGGGCTGACTTCTGCCTCTCTGTGTCAGCAAGAGAATAATTGATGATGAGAAAAGCTGATGCCCTCAAGTTAATTCCACGGTTCTCTTTAAAAATTCCCCTTCATGCTCATTTTGAATATTTGAAAAGAGACTAAAGGAGATGATGAGAATCACAATACCTGCCTAGCCTGGGCTACGCTTTGTAAGGTTTTATGTCTCTGATAACCACAACAGCAGAGATTTAGTTCATATATTTACTATAGCAAATTTAGCACTGATGTTACACTTATATTTTAAACTTATATTAAAAGCAGTGCCTTTGATTCAATATAGTTGTATTTTATCTGGCAATTTCTCAATAGGGGTTTCTGATTTCAGTCAAAACCATATATTTAATTTATACTATAAGCAGAGCACTTTGAAGACATCCCTTTAGGACTACAAAAATGTGTAAGATTGATTTGTGACCCCAGGAGTCTCATGATGGAGGAGGCGGAGAGAAAAATAACTGGAATACCGAGGATGAGGTATTGGTGCCTGCACTGGAGACTGCAGGGCTGTAGTAAAGTCAGGAGGAAGAACTTAATTCTGAACAGGGAAAACCTCGTGGAGAAGGTTATCCTTTAGCTGAGCCTTGAAAAGTGAGTGGGATCTGAATAGGTGGGAAGATATAAGGGCATCCAGTCTAAAAAGAGTGGGGAGAGAAAAGGGACAGGTTTGTTCTCTAAATGGTGAGTGTCCCCAGAGTTTAGAGTTCATAGTGGCTGGATGTAGTGAAGAATGAAACCAGAAGATAAATTAAAATTTTGGAAAGTCTTGACTGCCTGGCAAGGCATCTGACCTTTATTATCTAGGCAACGGGGAGCCACTGAAAGGTCTTTTGGAAGATAATGATGTTAGCCTATATGTTAGAAGGATACTTTGATGGCAGTGTGGATGAGAGATGGGAGAGGTTAGTTTAGAGGCCAAGAGACTCATTGTAAGACTTTGCAATAGCCTTATAAAGAGGTAATGAACCCTATGGCAAGCCGCGTTGGCTGGCTAAACCAACATGCGTTGTCAACTCCCTTGTTGCCTGAGACTACTATGGAGACTGAAAAAACTACATCATCCATGTCTCCTTCCTTTCTCCCCTCCTTTTATCTAACATGTGTATTGATCATTTGCTGTTTATCAGGCACTGGGGATATTGCTGTGAACAAGACAGAGTTACTGTTCTTGGGCAGCTTATAATCTGGTGAGGAGAGATAGATAATAAACAAATAGAGAAACAGGTAAAATCTATCTATTTCTGGATCAGGTGGTGATGAGTACAAAGAAGAAAACCAAAGCACAGTTAAGGGATAGAGAAATGGAGAAGGAGACATAGTGCTATTTTAGCTAGGAAGCTAGGGAAGACTTTTTTGATAAAGTGACATTTGAGAAAGACCTGATTGAGGTATAAACCACGAGGTTATCTGCAGGAGGAATGTACGAAACAGATGGAACAGTTTGTGCATCGCCCAGAGGAGGGAACTTCTTGACATACTTAAAGAAAAGCAGGATCAAGGGGGCTGGCATGAACTAGGGAGGAAGTGGTGGCAGATGAGTCTGGCAAGTTGCTGGAGGTTGATTATGTCAGGCTTTACAGACCAAAGTCAGGACTTGGGATTTTATTGTGAATAAAGATCAGATGTCATTGGGGGGTTTTGAGAAAAGCAATGACATGATGTGACTTGCAGTTTTATAGGCTCACTTTGGGCTGGGTGCATGGCTCACACCTGTAACTCCAGCAGTTTGAGAGGCCGAGGCAGGAGGATCACTTGAAGCCAGGAGCTTGAGACCAACGTGGGCAACCAAGCAAGACCTCGTCTCTACAAAATAAAATTATATAAAAAATATTAGCCAGGTGCAGTGGTGTGTACCTGTAGTCACAGCTACTGGGGAGGCTGAGGTGAGAGCATGGCTTGAGCACAGGAATTCAAGGCTGCAGGGAGCTGTGATTGTGCCACTGCACTCCAGCCTGGATGACAGAGTGAGGGCTTGTCTCAAAATAAAATATAATTAAAATAAATACAACAGACTCACTTTGGCTGCTGTGTGGCAAACAGACTGTAGGGATGCAGAGTGGATGCAGGGAGACCCTTTACAAGGCTACTGCCGTGACCTAGGTGAGAGACGATCGTGTCATGGGATGGTGTGAGAAGTGGTTGGAGTTTAGAGGTGTTTTGAAGGAAGAGCTGAAAAGATTTGCTGATAGATTCTTGTGGAGTGACAGAAGTGGAGAGGAGTGAATTTGCCATTTATTGTGTTGGGGGATACTGGAGGAGAAGTAGTTTGTAGGGGATGGTCAAGAGTTTGAGTGTGGACATGTTACATTTGAGATGCCTGTTAGGTATATGAGTGGAGATGTTGAGAACTCAGTTAACCTTGAGTCTGGAGTTTAGAGGAGTGGTCTAGGGTAGAAATATAAATGTAGGAGTGGTCAGTGTGTAATTACTCTATAAGACTGGGAAGAATCACCTAGGAGAGTACAGATAGAGAAAAGAAAAGATCCAAGAACTGAACCCTGGAACATTGTCATGATTAGAGGTCCAGAAGATGGGGAAGGATCAACAAAGAAAAAGGAATAGTGTCAGGAAGAAGGGCATGAGAAGAACAAAGAGAGAGTAAGATCCAAGAAGCCAAGAGAAGGAAGTAATTTGAGAAGGAAGGAGGGATCGTCTGTATCAATTACCCACATTTTGTACTGGAATCAAGCAACAAGACTGCATATTTTCTTCCAAGAACTCTTGGTACCTCAGGAAGAGGAACAGAGGGTTGGATTTCAGCTTGTGTAGGAAAGAAGGTTGGGGCATGTGGATTAGTTACCTATTGCTCCATAACAAAGCACTCCAAAGCTTAATAACTTAAAACAACAACCATTTTTTTTTAGCTCATTATTTTGGTGGGTCAGCACATTGGGCTGAGCTCAGCTGGATGGTTCTTCTGGTCTCAGCTAGGCTTGGCTGACCTTAGCTGGGCCTGCTTATGCATCTCCAGTCAGGTGACAGATCAACTGGGCTGACTTGTTGATACTAATCTTATCAGGAATACCCCAGGTAGCAAGGGCCTTTGTTCATATGGTTTCTCATCCTCTAGCAGGCTAGTCCTGGCTTTCTCACAATGTGGTTGCAGAGCAGCAAGAAAAACAAAAAACACCCAAAGCATAAGCATTTCTCAAATCTTTGCTTGTGTCATGGTTGCTACTGTCCTCTTGGATAAAGCAAGTCTCATGGTCAAGTCCAGACTCAGCATGAGAGAAGACTACCCAAAGCTTGTTGACAGAGATGTACGAACAAATTAGGACCAAGAGATGTACAAACAAATTAGGACCATTACTGCAATCACGCACCCAACATGAGAGAGCATAAGCAGAGCAGAGCTGAAATGTACAGAGAAGCAATAGATGATTTACCTGAATTGACTTGCAAGTAGTATTACCTACAGCTATTATTCTCATCATGATCTTTGCCAAATACAACAAAGGCTTATTAATAACTTATTTATCACCTATTTAGAGGACACTGAAAATAAATAGTGTTACTAAAATTAGGATATGAACATAGTACTTTCAGGAAGAATAAAAATTATTTTTCACCCATTCTAGTTGAATAATTTAAATTGTGTAAAGTTTTCTTTAAATTTTTTTAGAATAAGCACTTCTTCTTGGATTAGCAAGGAATCTACTCTTGCTAATCAATTACCCCCAAATTTTTAATAAGAAATATTAACTGATGAAACAAATACAGATGAAGATGATAACACATATATTCCTGAAGGATTTCTATATTTGCTTCATAATTTTTTCTTTTTCGAGACAGAGTCTCATTCTGTTGCCCAGGCTGTAGTGCAGTGGCAAGATCTCAGCTCACTGCAACCTCTGCCTCCCGGGTTCAAGCAATTCCCCTGCCTCAGCCTCCCGAGTAGCTGGGATTACAGACATGTGCCACCATGCCTGGCTAATTTTTGTATTTTTTTGGTAGAGATGGAGTTTCACCATGTCGGCCAGGCTGGTCTCAAACTCCTGACCTCAAGTGATCTGCCCACCTTGGCCTCCCAAAGTGCTGGCATTACAGGCATGAGCCACCATGCCTGGCCACTTTCATAATTTTAGCATAAAAATATAATTTTACTAAGGGCTGGTTAGATCATTTCCAAAGCTGTAAGAGAAACCTCCTCTCTGTTGAAGTCCAGCTGACCATGGGAGTCTCTGATCATTTGAAAAGATTTTCAAAACATCAAAGTCAAGAGAAAACCCGTTATGAATCTTATGTTTCTGGCTTCCCCATCTTGCCACATCATTTTTCTCATTCCTGCTAGATAAAGACTGCCTTCCCTCTCAGAATGGGTCTGTTAGATGATCCAAGAAGTTTCTCAAGTGAAAACCAGGAGAAACCGGTGGTTTGATGGTTAAGATATCTCAATTTTTATGAATTATTTTAGCACTGAACTCTGAGGGTTCAGTCACTTCCAGACAGTCAGATGGGTGTTCTGCGTCCTTTTCCTCCAGTGTAGGGTCTTGGTGAGGCTATTTTGTTGATATATGACTGAGATTGTTGGGCCAGGATGGAGAATCAACCGTTTACAGCTGTTTGCAAAGGGCACTTCAGTGTAGTGATTGGCCGTGATTCGTGCCATGTTCGGCAGTTGATTAATCCTCAACCCGAGAATATTCTTCCCAGCTCCATGTCCTCAGAATGGGGACTTTTGCATTCAGTAGCCTCAAACTGCAGCCTCGCAGGTGACACTTTCTTGCTTTCAAAAACACTTTTGTTACTGTCATGTGAGTGGACATGCATGCACAAACACACGGGCACAAATCTCACTCTATTTTTGAACGGAAGTTTTGACTTGATGACTCCCTGTAAATGTGTCTATAAACAGAAGCAAAGAGTAAAGCAGAGTTGGGTTTTGCTACAGAAATTTGCTCATTAACACCTTTCCTTGGAGTGAGAGGAGCAGCCAGAAAATTGTTTCAGGATCAAATGAGGGAAATGGTATGAAAATGCTACAAAAACCATTCAGGCCAGGCTCGGTGGCTCATGCCTGTAATCCCAGCATTTTGGGAGGCCGAGGCAAATGCATCACTTGGGGTCAGGAGTTTGAGACCAGCCTGGGCAACATGATGAAACCCCAGCTCTACTAAAAATACTAAAAAATTAGCCTGGCATGGCGGCGGGCGCCTGTAATCCCAGCTACTCTGATGGTTGAGGCAGGAGAATCACTCGAACTCGGGAAACGGAGGTTGCAGTGAGCCGAGATTGCACCACTGCACTCCAGGCTGGGTGACAGATCAAGACTCTCAAAAACTCAATCAGTCATTCACTATTTTGTGAATGTGAAATAGGTTATAAAAAGCCTTTTCCTTTCCTATTTTTTTTTCTGGACGCAAATTAAAGCCTTTTGTACCAGTGCCGCCAGTTGGGAGAGTAGGTGCCATTCACCAGAAGAGTCCAGAAACAATCTAGGGGTGTGTGTCTTTTATGTTTGGGTGTTGCACACCCAGCACTCAGCAATCAAATAGCTGTTGGGTAAATAAAATAACATATATTCAACAAGTTAGTACCGATCCTTGTTTTCACAGACTACATTCTTTGTATTACTCATTTTATATGATGTTAAAAGGTATTAAGATGAGAAAGATTGTGACCGAATAAATTTGGAAATGTTGGGTTAAACGAGACCAGATGAATCTCTCTGTGACAGAACTGATCAGAGCCTTTGATATGCTAAGGTGCATTAGGAATCTCCAAAGAAGGAATATAGTGAGCATTTCCCACATTTAGGGAACTTTGGCGAGGAATGTCCCACTTGGCTTTAGTGTGCCACGGAATGTTCTTGGCAGATACTGCCTTATCCCATAGATATCCCAACTTTGATTGTTCATGGCTTTTAGGGTATTAAAGTGTACAGACTGAGAACTGGAAATTTCCGGAGGCAGAGGGGAGAAGGGAGGAGGAGGGAGAAGGGAGGAGGAGGCAGAGGAGCATCCGGAAGGATACACAGCTTCCAGCTGAGAAGCTGCTCGCCTACTGATCAAGTGCATTTATTCCAGACAATTCTCCATTGTCAGGGATAGATGTCATTATTTTCTAAATCTGGACGATTGACAATAGAAGAACAGAGGCCGCTAGATACCTGCCTCCCGCTTGTCTCCCACAGTGGGGAGGCAGTCAGTCTTTATGCTCAGCCGGACCCACGGGCTGGCATGTTCTGAGGCCAGAGGCAGCATGAGGGAGGCTTTCTGGATCCCATTCCCTGACAGAGTTCCAGAAGATGAGAGTCCCGCCCTGAGGAAGGAAAGAAGGCTCTGTGACTTGCCCTGTGTGAAGGGCTGCCTTATCTTTGGTCATTGTATGGGACAGCAAAGGGAAGGTGTTCTGGGATGAGGGAGGAGGGGGAGCCTGGCTTCCAGGACTGATTCGCCACTTTCCTACTATGTCCTAGACAACACACTTCACTTCCATGAGCTTCATGTTCCTCACTTGCTAAACAAGGGTGGCAGCCACCAAATCAGTGGCTCATTATAATGATCCATTAGCAGTTTTAAAAGCACGCAGTAAAGTCCTTGGTACACAGTAGGTGATCCTGGTGGGGAGCTCTTGGGGGGCATGGGGTGCTATCTTAGAGTCTCCACATATGTATATGTCTGGCACAGAGTAGATGAATGAAACGTATTTCCTGAATGAACAAATAGCTCAAAATCAAAATGTTAAGTGGGTAGCAGTTGCCACAGTTAGAGAGTTAGAGAGAGAATGTTTGTGTGTGTGTGTGTGTGTGTGTGTGTGTGTGTGTGTGTCAGAGTGAAGCCCCTAGTGATGGGGTATTATGCAAAGAATAAGGCATAGTTGAGTTTTTGCTACAGAAATTTGCTTATTGATGCCTTTCCTTGGAGTGAGAAGAGCAGCCCGAAAACTGAAAATTGGAAACGGAATGTTTTGTAGTCAAAGTCTATGTGGTAAAGACAATAGCCAAAGAGAACCACGTGTGATACATGTCCCTGGAAATTCCCATGTGATTTAAACACTCTGCAACACTATCCAGAGTGCTGGGTATTAAAAACAGGCTATGCTGCATGGATGCCACCCTTGCCACCATTCCCATAGTCACGGCGGGTGGTGGTTAATGAAACAGAGATGGGCACCCAAGGCTGCGCTCACTGAACTCTATGGGCTGAGCACGGCAAAACGGACTTCCGAGCAGCCAGCTGCTTAACCCACGCTGTAGTGTGGGTGGTTTTGTTTTTTTCTTTTTCTGTATCGTTTCCTCTTTGTCCATTAAACTGGAATGAAAGGCTACAGACATTAAACTGTGCAAATAAAATAACCTTGAGAGGCGGCTGCTCTAGTTGAAACTTACCGTCTCCCCTGTTGCTATGGTTACCTCCAGCAGGTCGCCCAGTGAGAATGGCTCTGTCATCAGCAACGAATCAGGGAAGCCCAGCTCAGGGAGACGCTCACCCCAGAATGTAATGGCACAGCAGAAAGTGACAAAGGAGGAGGCAAGGAAGAGAAATGGTGAGAAGCCTTCCCTCCAAGAACCACCCCCAGCTGCTCCCACGCGTGCCCGCACACACATGCGTGCACACGTGTGCACAAACTCACACACAGCCACTGGGCTCTGACCCTCAGTCGTTCTTTCTATTCTGCCCCACAAGGGCCAGGAGTCTGTATGTACCCCTTGGGTTCTCACCTTACCCCTTGTCTGAATTGTCCTGTCTCACTTCCTCCGCCCCTGTTCTTATGAAATGGTGTAGTTCCTTAGGAAAAACCTTTTGCGGAATGAACTGATGTTTGCTTAGAGGTTTTTCTAATTCTCTAGTTAGAAATCCTCTAAAATTTCTAATTTCTAATCACATGAATTGACGCAATTTCTTGCACCAGTTCCACTAAGGCAGCAGATCTCTGAAATAACTGCTCATCTTGGAGATTCCTCTCATTTTCCTGCCCTGACTCCCCTGATAAGTTTCATGGGTTCAGTCTGTGCCACTGAGTCCAGATATTGCAACTCCACTTCTCCCAGGAAAAAACTAACCCAAAACAATAAAGGAACAGATCTGTCATCAAAAAAAAAAAAAAGAAAAGAAAAGAAAAAAAAAGTTATATGCTTCTGTCTTAATTCTCCAGGGAAGCTGAACTACTTAGTTTCTCACACAGATCTCTCCTTTCCTGTAAGGATTGGCGTTGGGGTTTATTTATCAGTCATCTGAGCACCGTAGTTGTGGAGTGGCATTGTCTATAGATGGCCTCTGTCAACATCATTGTGCAGCTCCCTCTCCTGTTCCCACCTTGGTTCTGACTCTCATCTCCATGTGGCCCTTCCGTGTGTGATGCTGGTTTACTGGGGCCAGAATTCAAGTACCCAGCACTACTGATTTCATATCAGGGAAAAGTCCTTTTGGATTTTAATGGGTTGTAGGTGGAGCCCTACAGAAATGCCAGGTGAAAAGCTAAACCCTCTAGCACCCTGCTTAGCTGCACTTCCCTTTCAAAGGAGTTTGCATAGTGCAGGGACTCTTTCTTGAAGCTAGTGTTGGAATATTTTTTTGTTTTCAAATATCACTTTTATTTTTTTTTTCCGACTGAAAACGGTAAGAGCAGAGAAAAGAAAAGAAATAACGACACATGGATTTGTATTCTGTAGGGAAAATGTGCTCCCTGTTCCCATTTTCAGCTATTATATAAAGCACTTGTTTAAAGTTTAAACTGTCATACCTATTTGGTGGTTGAAATTTTGTCTTTCCCTGAATTCTGCATGCCTGTAACACAGAGGCTGTGCTTTCTACATCAGAAATGGGGTGTGACCTGTGGAATTTTCCTGCAATATCTGCCCCACCTGGGACCACTAGAAATCCTGCCATCAGCTCTATCGAGTGAGCACACGGAGTCAGAGGTGCTCTAGATCTTGGGAAGGGGACTTGAGTTCAGCAACTTTCTTCTCTTTCTTCCTAGGATGAGGTGATAAGAGAGATGGGTAGAGAGAGTGAGGTGACAGCAGAGACAATGGACAGTGAAGCCATATGGGGAAGGTTGTTTTAACTAAATACTGTGACGGCCATCACCATCTATCCAAGATGGTGCTTCCCGCCCTCCCAGCTCCGCCTACTCCCTCCCCTCCCCCTCCTTCCTTCCTTTCCTTCCTTCCTTCCTTTATATACTTCCTGGAAATTTACAAGGTCAAATCAAAGACTACTCACTCCTCCAGATGCCCCACTCACCCACCCCAGTCCTCAGAGGACCCCGAATAACTCAATGTATATCTTTCTCTGACCTTTTTACTATGCATATGGCAATACACATGTATCTTTGTTTTTTGTTGTAATGCTTTATTTTGTTTTATTAAATGGAATCAGTGCGCATATTGTTCTATGCCCTTTCTCTTGCTTTAAACTGTGCCATACAAAGCTCCTTTCTTTATGAATACACATTTGCAAAGTGATGTCTTTTCCCCTTCCCTGCAAATAATCCATAGAAGATGAGAGAGTGGGGCTGGTTCCTGACCCCGTCACTCCCCACTTAGCTGGTGAAATTCTGGCCTGCTCTAGATGTCCCTGCTGACCTTGCCCATTTCTGCTTGTCTGCCCTCTCCTCCTGCCTCTTTATTCTATTTAGGTCACTTTGACTATTTAAATATAAGGCTTAGAAATAAAACAGGTGGGTGCAGGAATAAAATGCAGTTACTATGCCAGGTTGAGGTTTTTGCTTGTTTGCTCTATTAAAAAGCCATCCTTCCAGGGTTAGAGTGCTTGCTTGGTTGCACTTTATTTTTGCCAAAAGTAAACCCAGTGAATTTGGGGGGCTGGTTGCTTCTGTTTACAGGTTTCTATTCCGTAAGGTTTTAGGTTTGAACTTTTCCAGTAGAACCAATAGAACCAACTTGTCTCATGTAAAACTCAACAGACATCAGAATTTTAGGATAGAACTTTATGAAAACATACACTTGTTGTTTTTATCAGAGGGTTCCATTTTATCATAATCCTAGGTTAGAGTTTACCAATAAAATCAATAGTGTATTTTATTGCATTGGAAGATGAACCAAAGGAAGGAAGGAAGAAAATGACATTGAATGGAATTGTGGAGAAAACAAAAAAGTATATTTTCATCACCTTGCCAGCTTGCAAAAAGTATTGAGGACTTTCTGTATGCACATGGCCTCTGAGAATCCATTATTCTGTTGATATGGAATATTCAAATGCTGTTGTCTTATGGCTTAGTATCTATTTTTCACAGAAGCTTAAGTTACTAAGGTTAATAAATGTTAAATGTAGCAGGCTGTTATTCTAAAACTGTTCTTGTTTTCTATCAGGTTTGTTACATCTGTAGCTTCCAATCTTTTTCTTTTATGTAAAAAAGAACTTTGAAAGGAAAAGACACTATTCTGCTAGCCAGATGGCTGGCATAGGTCCTTATAGCTCAATGGCCACATCAGTTACCATCGCTGCAATTTTAGAGTCTGTTTCATAATGATGCTTACATGTAAGTGGGAAAGTCAGACATGAGAGCTAGGATTTTGAAAGCAAAAAGAGTTTGGTGCTTTCTCAACCAAATAGACATTTGAATTTCTGAGCCAATTTCTAAACATGGAAAATATGTTTAATAGGAAAGAGTTAAAAGTAAGTTCAAGATTTTTGAAAATAATACATATCTTTGCATCTTAAGTCATTTGGAAGCAAACAACCACCTGCCTGAACCCTTTAAAGTATGCCCCCTTCCTTTATGTCACTGAGAGAATTCACTGGTAGGGCTCAGAATCTATTAATAATCAAACTTCACCTGTCTAAGGTATGGGGCAGGTGAGGCAGGCAAAGAATTAGAAAGTTTAGAGGATGAATTACTAATTTATTAGGAGCTCTTTATGGGGCATCTGGAATTAAAACATCAAGGAAGATTTGTCAGAGATACTAGCTCAAAAACACAGTTTCAGTTATTCTTTCTTTGCCTTCCCAATGAAGTGAAGACTTGCTTTATCTAATAAATAATACTAGAGAATAATGATGCTATTATAGATTGTCTGAGCTTTAATGAAATTTTCAGAAAAAGCACGTGTTGGATAAGAACACTTTCTGCCTCAAATGGGAGAGGGAGGCACTCCCCATGCCAGTTCAGACATGAAGAAATGAAATCTCTCTGTCCAACCTGATTTACTGAAATTAAAAACAACAGTAAAAACAAGGCACAATCAGATACAAGATAACTATTCAGTGGCATTTACTGTGATGCGATGCTATGCTAAGACACTTGCAGTTTCACTGTGGCCCCTTAAGCATTCTCCCATGCTTTTTCTTTAGGGACTAATCATGCATTAAAAATCCCCATGAACCTGCTGTGTTCATACCACATTTTGAAGCATTAATATTTAATGTCTTTTAATATATTTGCCTATAAAGTCTTTTTTAGGGGAAGGATAACTAATTATTTTTCTCTTCAAAAGCCTAGAGGAATTGTACAAATCTGAATAAAAGTTTTTTTGAAAGAGTGAAAAATAACTATAGCTTGTACAATTCCCAAGGTGTCATTTTCCTGTCCCATTAATGCTATGCTGCCCACCTTACCCCGTTCAGTTTGGGGAGTGAGGGTGTCACCATCCAGAAGTGATAAAAATGCTAAGTGCCATCTCTTCACCCTCTGATGGGTTGAGGGATAGCATGACTTTAACTTCTGCATGGTTACCTGTTCTGCAGGTACTAACAGCATCTCCTTTTCCAAGTCAGGGAAATTGAGTCATTCATTTCTTCACTCACAACCAATCTTTATTGAAGGCCAACTATATGTGAGACACTGTTAAAAGCAATAGGCATTAGTCTTTAAAAAGATGGGCAAGAATGGAGCTTCTAGTCTAGGGAAAGGGGTGAGGGTACACTGTAAATCAGTATAACATATCAGTAGTGGTAACCATTGTGAAGAAAATAGAACAGGGTAATGAAGGGGGGATTAGATTGTTGGTTAAGGAAAGTCATTTTTAAGCTGCAACTTGAAAAGCAAGAGAGAACTGGGCATATAGAGATCTGGGAAAAGGGCATTCTGAGCAGAGGGAATAGCTAGTGCAAAATTCCTGAGATGGGAACAAGCCTGATGTGTTCAAGAAGGCCACTGTGGGCCGGGCACGATGGCTCACGCCTGTAATCCCAGCACTTTGGGAGGCCAAGGTGGGTGGATCACCTGAGGTCAGGAGTTCGAGACCAGCCTGGCCAACATGGTGAAACCCCGTCTCTACTAAAAATACAAAAATTAGCTGGGCGTGGTGGCGGGGCCTGTAATCCCAGCTACTCGGGAGGCTGAGGCAGGAGAATCCCTTGAACCCAGGAGGCGGAGGTTGCAGTGAGCCGAAATCATGCCATTGCACTCCAGCCTGGGCAACAAGAGCAAGACTCCACCAAAAAAAAAAAAGAAAGAAAAAAGAAGGCCACTGTGGCTGGAGCAGAGCAGATGAGGGGAGAGGGACTAAATGAGTTCAGCAAGGGGGCCAGCATTAGATTGACAGGATCTTGGCGGGAAGACCTTGGTTTTATTCTGACAGAGATGAAGCCTTCAGAGGGTTCTGGTCAGGGGAAGAATGCCATCTGGTTACCTTCTGGAAAGTTTATCCATCCTGGTTACTGGTGGAATATGTATTTTAGGGATAGAGGGAGAAGAGGGAAAGCTCAGAGGTGGAAGGTTGTTTAGAAGGTCTGTAAGTTATCTATTGCCATGTAACAAATTACCCCAGCACCTAGCAACCTGAAATTTATTATCTACATTTATTATCTCATATCATATCTGTGGGTAAGGAATTTAGGACTGGTTTAGCTGGGTCATTCTGGCTCAGGGTCTCATGAGGTCATAGTCAAGATGTTGGCCTGAGCTGTCATCTAGAGTCTTAACTGGCAAAAACCAATAGATGTTGGCATGGATGTGGTGAAAAGGGAATGCTTATACACTGCTGGTGAGAATGTAAATTAGTACAACCCCTATGCAAAACAGTACAGAGATTCCTTAAAGAAGTAAAAGTAGATCTACTATTTGATCCAGCAGTCAATCCCACTCCTGGGTATCTACCCAAATGAAAAGAAGTATTATATGAAAAAAGACACTTGCACATGTGTGTTTATAGCAGCACAATTCACAATTGCAAAGATAGGGAACCAACCTAAGTGCCCATCGACCAATAAAGAAAATGTAGTATATATACACCATGGAATACACTACTCAGCCATAAGAAGAAATGAAATAATGTCTTTTGCAGCAACTTGGATGGAGCTAGAGGCCATTATTCTAAGTGAAGTAACTCAGGAATGGAAAACCAAATACTATATATTCTCACTCATAAGTGGGAGCTAAGCTATGAGGACACAAAGACACACAGAGTGATATAATGGACTTTGGGGACAGAGGAGAGGGTGAGGGGGGAGTGAGGGATAAAAGACTACATATTGGGTACAGGATACACTACTTACGTGACGGGTACACTAAAATCTCAGAATTTACCACTATAGAATTCGTCTGTGTAACCAAAAATCGCTTGAACCCCAAAAGCTATTGAAGTTTAAAAAAGAGAAAAATGAAAATAAAAAATAAAGTCTTGACTGGGGCTTGCAGGATGGTCACTCATGGCTCTTGACAGGGGGCTTCAGATCCTTGCCACATGGACCTTTCCATAGGACTGCTTCAAGGTCCTCAGAATGTGGCAGCTGGCTTTCTTTAGAGTAAGTGATCCGAGAGAGAGCAAGGTGGAAGTCATGAGTTTTTGTTTTGTTTTGTTTTGTTTTGTTTTGTTTTGTTTTGTTTTTTTACAACTAAGCCTTGGAAGTAACACGTTGTCATTTCTGTAGTTTCCTGTTGGTTACACAGGTCAGTCCCATTCATCCTGGGTATGAATATCAGGGGGTGAGAATTCTTAGGAGCCACCTTATTGGCTGGCTTTCATAGATGGCTTGTATAGCAAGTGTCCAGGAGGCAGATAATGGTGGCCAGGCCAGAGCTGCCCAGCAAAACTACATCTAAAAATATGGATGCATCTGGTAACACATTCAAATAGAGATTTTCCTCTGTCATTGGCTGCTTGGTGGCCTGCTATTTGCAAATCAGCCCACAGAACTTAAAAAAAAATCCAATTATAACCCATTGTTAGACTCTGAAGTGTTTTAGCCACTTTGTAAAAATAACAATTTACTTGGCTTAATTTGACAAATCTTCTGTGATTATGATAAGTGACAGAATGATACAAACTATGTGTTTCTCAATAATTTAAATAACATCCCAATCTCTCAAGCAGACAGGAGGAAAGATGAATACACTGCTATTACATTCATATTTTATATAACACCTCTTTTCCTCCTAAATTGTCTGCTGGTTTAGTTGTTTGAATAGGCTTAATGTATCTCTTGCCTAGCCATGCTCAATAAGCTGTCTTTCTTATAGTTACTTAATGGGAATATGCTTTAAGAACAAGTAAATCAGCAAGATACCAGGGGCCCTGGAACTTCTGTCAGCTTAGTTATGGAAGCTCAAGGCAGACTGGTGTCTTTTAGCAATTGCAGCAGAATTATCTGTCAGAAGGGAGGATTAATTTAACAGAGCGTAGGTAGAAATCCTTCTACTTAATTAGGGGAGTTGTCTGTAGCTTCAAATTAGTTTCTCTGGCGGAATTTTCGTAGCTTTCTTTTATTTTAGACAAATAAACCAAAACCCAAATCACTGGGGAAACAACCTTCAGAAGAGGAAAAAAAAAAAGAATGTCAGCCACTATAACTGTGGCTTGTTGACCAAGAAAGACTTGCTACTTTAACATCTTGTAAAGATTGGTAGCATTGGTGGCTGAACCTGAACTGAATGCTGTTAGTCTGAGGATTGTCGGATTTTAAGGACAGTTACAAGGTTTAGCCAAACTCACTTTTCTCACCTCCAACTCAAACATAGAGAAAGAAGTTACTTTTTAATTTTTTTCAACTGTCTTATGTCATAGTTTTGAAAGAATGGTTCTTACTGTTTAAATTCAAACCTCTACAGTTCTTTCCCACCCATGATAAGGCAATGGAGGGATAAATCATACAGATCTTAAATTTAAAGGAAAACCGCTAGCAGTAGCGAGTCCTTGGCACAGAAGCAGATGCTGTCGTTTCTGAGGTTGTTTTGAGTAAAGTAATGTCCTTAGGCTGTGAGTCTAACATAAATTCTCCTGGGATCACACAGCTCCCCAACATCATAAAATCGATGTGTTTATGTTGTGCTTCAGTGCCAGCGAGTGACGAAGAGGAGGGAGCGGTTCTATTTGACAACTCCAGCAAGGTGGCCGCTGAACCCTTTGACACATCTTCTGGGTCTGTGCAGCTCATTGCCATAAAACCCACAGCCCTCCCCATGGTGCCCCCCACCTCGGACAGGAGCCAGGAGTCATCGGCAGTCCTCAACGGCGAGGTAAGTGCCTGGAGACCCAGGGCAGGAGATGGTCCGGCCAGACTTGGGAAATTCGGACGAAGGAACAACACCTGTGAATACTGGGTGCAGATTGCACCTAGGGCCGTATAGGTCATTTTTACCTCTGCATGTACCAGGCCTCTGCAGAATGAATCAGGACACAAGTCACCCAAAAAGAATTTGTTGGGTGATGTTTTCAGAGCACTTCCTATGTTCATTAAAAGCCCAGAAGGAACTGTTAAAAAAATGTGATTATGAAGAGAAGCATCAGGCGTCCTGCTCCCCGACCCCCTCACACACACAGCCTTTTGCCTTTCTTGGTGACACTCCTAAACTGTCCATTGTGGGATGTTGCTTGTAGTGGGGATGGAAGGGGCTTGAATTGAGAGGGAACCAGGGAAGATAACGTCATATGGACAGGGATGTGGGCCACTCTGGGGACTTTGAAATGACATTTATTCCTTTGAGCAAACTTGAAACAACTCATTGGCTGCTTCCAGAAAGCTATCAATGGATATCATGATGTTAGTCAACTTTCCTAAGAGTCTGAAAAAAAAAATTGTAACATTCACCATAGAGTGATGATTTCATCAAAGAAAATTAGATAGATAGATGCCAGAAGTTAGGTAAAAATTATCTGCATTTCCTTCATCTTCAGCAGCAGAATGGCCAGTGGATTGCAAATGTTTATGAACTTTAAGAAGATGCATTTGGACCCTACATGTGAACATTTACATTACATGTGTGCCCAAGCATGTACACACACAAGCTCTTAATTTTTCTCTGTTCTTAAGCTGTCAGGTTGGTTGTTAATTTCATTTGTTTATACCCAGCTATTTTTACCTGCAAGAGGTGGGAGATTTCCAAAGTTTTAGTCTTTTTCCCATCACACCTCAAGGAACATGCTATGGCCCTACAAAACCAGGTATTGTAAATACGCAGCATCTGGGCCACTTATAAAAGCATTTTACAAACCCAACTCAGGAAGCAACTCTTGTTTTCTGGGCAGAAAGACTGAGATGGCCTAAAGATGTGATGGGTAAACCTTCATTGATTTAAAAAAAATAACTGGTTGTGGACGTACAGAGCACTTCTCTTTCAGCCTCTTCATTTTTTAAACCAAGAAGCTGAAGCTTGAGGGGTCCAGTGGCTTGTTCAAAGTCACACGGCAGGTTATGGTGACAGCCATGAGGTTGAGGTCCCCTGACTTCCTGTCCAGCGCTCCTTTCCTCTCTTTTACTTACTACAGCCTACCAGAGAATAATAGCATTGTGCTTAAAAGAGTATGGATTCTCAAGCCATGCCTCAGGGGTTTGAGCCTCAGATCTTTTACTTACTGTGTGACCTTAAGCATGTTAGTTCATTTCTCTGTGCCTCAGTATCTCCGTTTATAAAATAGGGCTGCTGTGAAGATCAAATTGTTTAATATATGTAAATTACTTAGACTAGTGCCTGGCACACAATAAGCACTTTGATGATGATGATAATGATGATGATGATTATTATTATTACTGTTGTTGTTATCACCACCCATTAGACAGCCAGTGAAGAAAGATCATGTATTTTATGCCCCTTGGCTCTACAATTTGAGAATCTGAATGTCTTCTCAAAACCAGTCACAGTCACTGAATTTTCTCTTGGGCACAATTCTGCCAGCAGACATGCAAACCCCATAATTAGAGGCCTCTGAGGTTGACACTAATGCATTGATAACTGCTGTTGATTTGGACCCTCTGCTCAGTTATGGATACATGTGATGGCCACTAGGCCTGGATCTTTTCATCCCAGCTTAATGATGTGCATGTCATAGAGACAGATTCCAAATCTGGGATAGATTCAATTTATCACCCCCTTTTCCTCCCAGGCCCATCACCTTGTCAAAGAAGGAGAGCAAATCAGCATCTTCCTTGTCCAGAAATGGATGCTGTATTTTGGTAGTTAAAGGAATGGACCTTGCTGGCATTTGGATTGGAAGAGAGCCCTGAACTGTTCTCTATAATTTGCTGCCTTGTGGAGCCTGACACAGATTGTCTTGTAATTTTCTTCCTCCTTCTATTGTGGGTGGCTGGTTTAAATGAAGAAAGCACAACCCAGAAGCCATACGTTTTTCTTTTGTAAATTACACGACATTCTTTTAAAGATTATTTTTAAGAAAGCATAATAAAAACAGAAAGTTCGGAAACGTTGGTGTGACATTCTCATCACTTGTTACTTATTTAGCACAGTCACCTGCTTATATCTCCAACAGTTTGCAAGGTACATTAGCCACGTTCCCTTCTGAAAGACCAGACTGCCTTTGCCCTATAGGGCAGGACCTGGTTCATGTTAGTGGCCATACAAGGCTTCAAAATTACATATCTCTCAAGAAAGGCATGGATTTACAAAAACATGCTGTCAGATGCAGGTTGACAGTGTGGAAAGGCATTGGGAGCAGCTGCTTCCCCTTCCACCCTGTCCGTCCCAGCTCAGCCTCTTCAGGAACTTGCTCTCTTATCTAGCTGGACACCAGCTGAAGGGCAGCGAAGGCCACTGGGTTCCCCAGGACTGGAGCTAGACTCAGGGCACTGAGAACTGGCGGAGGCACCCACACAGAGGAACCAAAAGGGTATAGGCATAATTAAGGCCGAGCCACATTGCTAAGAGCACGGAGTCAGGCCTAGGCCTGAACAGAGACAGGACAGACTAGGGAGAAGGAGGCCTTGGAGGAAGGTCTCAGGTGATTCAGGTGAGTGCCAGGCTCCACAGTATCTATAGTCTACTGTTGTGGGCTTGTCTCAGAATGGGATGCAGGTGGGCCTGGCTAGCTCAGAGGCCCGGAGGTGATGCCTGTGATGGCTTTTTTAGAAGTGATAACCTCCTGGTGAAAGTCTCCCACCTGCCGGCCCCACTGGGTCAGGTTTGGGCCTGAGACTGCCTCTCTCCCCAGGTGAACAAAGCCCTGAAGCAGAAGTCAGACATCGAGCACTATCGGAACAAGCTGCGCCTCAAAGCCAAGAGGAAGGGATATTACGACTTCCCTGCAGTGGAGACGAGCAAGGGTCTGACCGAAAGAAAGAAGATGTATGAAAAAGCCCCGAAGGAAATGGAGCATGTTTTGGATCCAGATTCAGAACTCTGTGCTCCATTCACCGAGTCTAAAAACAGGTGCAGTCTCTAAGGGATTCTGTAAAGGGTGCTGTATCATTGGTGGGATAAGGGCAGGCCTTGGGCAGTATATCCTGGTTCCTTATCTGGTACTGTAGGATTGTGATCTTTGCAGTCCACTGATTTGTACCACGCTGGTCTGTGCAAGCAGGTGCTCTATAATGAGTCTGAAAGAGAGTAACATTAAAGCCATTAAAAAAAAAAATACTTGGGCAAACAACCATAATTGTCCATCAGCTTAATGGTATTTTCAAACCAGTTGCTTTTTCAGAGCTGAATGAAGATTATAATTATCACCTACCTAATGGTGCAACTTCCAGATCAAGGGACATTGTATTGTTCAATTGTTTTAGAGGCTCTTGCATAAGAAAACCAAATTTCATGCTGCACCTTTTCATTCAGCCTCAGTAAGTACTTACTGCACAGGTGCTCAGAGCTCCATGCTGGTTTATCTCATTCATTCACAGACTTGTTCATTTATTCGACATATATTGTCACCTGCTATGTATTAGGTACCATTCAAGATGCTGAATGCTGTCATGCTCATGTGGGCTTATTCATTCATTCAATTCAAATTCCTTCAACATTTAATTGTGGACAAGACAGTCCTATTGCTGCTCTTATGGAACTTAGGGTCTAATGGGAGAGAAAGAATCACCCCAAAAGTTTATTAATGACAAGTGTGGTAGGTGTTTGAAGTATGAGGTGCTGTAACGATCTAAAAGGGAGTCCTGTCCCAGCAAGGAAGGGCTAAGCCAGATGGTTTAAATTGGCATCTGTCTTAGTTCTTTTTGTGCTGCTATAACAGAATACCTGAGACTGGGTAATTTGTAATGAACAGAAACATATTTTCTCACAGTTCTGGAGGCTGGGAAGTCCAAGATCAAGGTGCCAGCATCTGGCAGGGCCTCCTTGCTGCATCATCCCATGGCAGAAGGCAGAGGGCAAAGAGAGAGCAAGAGCAGGCCAAATAATGCCACCCATGAGGAGGAGCCCTCATGGCCCTGTCACCTCCCAAATGTCCCACCTCCTGACACCACCATGACAGGAACCAAATTTCAACATGAGGTTTGGAGGGGAAAAACATTCAACCATGGCTGCAGCCTTCCAAGCTTTGTTGCTGACTAAGCAGAGTGATTTCACATGCACGGTCAAAGGCAGAGGTTAGTGAACCCAAACATGTCCACCTTTCTTCCTTTCCCACCTACCTGAAGCACTTTCATGATTTGAGGCCACCTCTTTCCCATACACAGTCTCCTTGGTGACTTCCCTCTGGCCTTGAGCATGCTCCCACCCCGACATGCCACAGAGCCATGACAGACACATTCTCCACAGACTGGGGAGCCATAGGGCAGTTTCTGGCCTGAGTAAGTACTTATTAAAAGCAAAAATGACTTTGTGACAGGCTTGGATCAAAGCCACAGAATCAAGCTGGGAGGTGGGGCTGAATTTTATGAATTGGATCAACATAATTTATTTTCAATAAAGAAAAGAGGAAATTCTCAACCAGTGCTTAATTTACCATGCTTCTAATTAGGCTTTGTTGGTATGACAAGCTATTGATATCAAATCACACCATGACAGGGTTCACAATGCATGTGTCACTGTGTTAATACCTGTAGAAAAAAAAGAAAAAAGTTGGGGAGTTTATAGGGAGGCTGATTGGTTCTTTAGCTTTTATTTTGTACTTCAGGGAGTTTTACTTCAGTGGTCTTTGGGATAGGAGCTGGGATGGGAGCTGTTTTTCCTGGATTTCATGCTGACACTCAGGGAAAATGAATCAAAGCCACGAAATCAAGGTGAGAGGTGGGGCTAAATTTTATGAATTGTGTTAACATAATCATTTTCATGTACAAATTAAAGAAACTTAGGAAGTTACTTGAGAAACAAAAATTTCAGTTAAGGCTTTTTATGAAAAGAGAATGAATGAAGAATGAACCAAACTTGTTTCTGTAGAGAGGCATCACCTCTGCCTAGCACAGGTGCAGGCCAGATTCTTGGGGCCTTTTGATGACCTGCTAATGCCACGTGTATTGTAGCTAATTCTCAGCAAATGTTCATTGAATAAATGGTTTCATGATCATAAAGCACCAAAAACAACTTTTAAAACATTTTTGACCAGTTAAGGGGAAAATAATGGAGAGCCATAAACTGGGTGAGCTAGGAATAGGAATGGAGAGAGGATCAGCCAGAGATGAGAATGGGGAGGGACAGACAGAAAAAAGAGAGTGACAACCTCGGTAAGCTCAGAGGTATTATTCTTGACACACTCTGCTGTTGACTCCAGAGACTGCTGACTGTTTATCTGCTATCACAGGTTAGAGTTACCTGTTAATTACTGTTCACAGTATAACCCTCCAGAGGTTCTGCTTTCAGTGACCAAGCCACAGCAGGACAAGTGAAGGAATCATGCTCTAGTCCAGAGGTAGCATCAGTGTATTAGGCCAGTCTCTTTTTATTTTTTTATTTTTGTAGAGATGGGGTTTTGCCATGTTGCTCAGGCTGGTCTCAAACTCCTGGGCTCAAGCAGTCCTCCTGCCTTGGCCTTCCAGAGTGCTGGGATTACAGGCGTGAGCCACTGCGCCCAGCCAACCATTCTTGCATTGCTATAAAAAATACCTGAGACTGGGTAGTTTTTTTTTTTTTTCTTTTCTTTTAGGTTTGAAGTTACATGTGCAGGTTTGTTATATCGATAAACTTCTGTCATGGGGTTGGTTGTATGGATTATTTCATCACTCAGGTATTAAACCTATTAGCCAATAATTATTTTTTCTGCCCTCTCCCTCCTTTTACCCTACACCCTGAAGTATACCCCAGTGTCGGTTGTTCCATTTATATTCATGAATTCTCATCATTTAGCACCCACTTATAAGTGAGAACATATGGTATTTGGTTTTCTGTTCCTGTATTAGTTTGCTAAGGATAATAGCCTCCAACTCCATCCATGTTTCTGCAAAAGACATGATCTTGTTCTTTATTATGGCTGTATAGTATTCCATGGTGTATATGTATCACATTTTTTTTCATCCAGTCTGTCATTTATGGGCATTTAGGTTGATTCCATATCTTTGCAATTGTGAACAGTGCAGCAGTGAACATTCTCATGCATGTGTCTTTATGGTGGAATGATTTCTGTTCCTCTGGGTATATAATAGTAATGGAATTGCTGGCTCAAATGGTAGTTCTGTTCTTAGCTCTTTAAGGAATTGCCATACTGCTTTCCACAATGGTTGAACTAATTTACACTCCCACCAACAGTGTATAAGAGTTCCCTTTTTCCTGTAACCTCACCAGCATCTACTATTTTTTGACTTTTTAATCATAGCCATTCTTACTGGTATGAGATGGTACCTCATTTTGGTTTTGATTTGCGTTTCTCTTGTGATCAGTGATACTGAGCTTTTTTCATATGCTTGTTGGCCACATGTATATCTTCTTTTGAAAAGGAGACTGGGTAATTTATAAAGAAAAGAGGTTTAATTGGCTCACAGTTCTGCAGGCTGTGGAAGCAAAGCACCAGCATCTTCTTAGGCCTCAAGGAGCTTTTACTCATGGTGGAAGGAAAAGCAGAAGCAAAAGAGATCTGGGGCAGGGAGATGCCATACACTCTTAAACAACCAGATGTCGCGAGAACTCATTGTCACAGGGACAGCACCAACCCATGAGGGATCCACCCCCATGATCCAGTCACCTCCCACCAGGCCCCACCTCCAACACTGGGGATTACATTTCAACATGAGATATGGGTGGAGACAAATATCCAAACTAGATCAATCAGTAACCAGAATTTTACCTTAAGACCTAAATTAAATCAAATAAAAGACAAAGTTTAGGTTCCAAATGTTGACTCATCACTAAATCTTTTAAAATCATTTTCAGAGCCTTAAAAAAATCAGAACACTTCATTTTTACATTATAAACTCTTACCCAGAGACACAAAGTACATAACATAATTGAGATGGTTGCTGTTGGCGGCCCCAGTCCATGCCCTCAGCTCTCCCTGAGCCTGTCCAGGCCAGCAGCATCCTACTTGCTACAGGCATCTGTGACTCCAACTTAAAGGCTTTTTCTCGGCAGCCACCAACCAGAAGTGTCATGTAGTTAAGACACTGTGGAGCATCCTCAGTTTGTAACAGATGGAAACTGATGGATAAATACCCCTGGCAAGGGAACTGGAAGCGTAAGTTACACTGTTGCAATAACTACATTTTCTAGTTTCTATATTTGATGATTTGGACATCTGGGGCCTTGCTGACCCCAGAGAAACTGTCCTTCCCAGGCTACTGTCCTCCCCAGGCTAGTAAAGGACTCACTGGCAGACATGCCTTTCATGTGCAAAGCAGCCAGTGCAGAGGCCAAACATGAACTGCCTGCTCTATATGGTCTCACAGGGCTCTCCACCCTGAGTCACTGTCTGTCTGCCCTGATTACCCCAGGGCCAGGTACCAGACAACTCAGGACAGCCCTTGTGCCCCAGAATCTGCCAAAAGTATTCAATCAAAATTAGTCACACTCCCCTGTGGTATGGCCTGTTCCCTCCTCTTGGGATCTGTGAGTGTAACAAGATATATATATATATATATATATATATATATATATATATATATATATATATATATTTTTTTTTTTTTTTTTTTTTTTTTTTTTTTGGTGTAGGGGCTGGGGGAGATGGAGTCTCCCTCTGTTGCCAGGCTGGAGTGCTGTGGCGCTATCTCGGCTCACTGCAACCTCTGACTCCCTGGTCCAAGTGATTCTCCTGCCTCAGCTTCCCAAGTAGCTGGGATTACAGGCACGCGCCACCACGCCCAGCTAATTTTTGTATTTTTAATAGAGACGGGGTTTCACCATGTTGGGCAGGATGGTCTCAATCTCCTGACCTCTTGATTGGCTTGCCTCAGCCTCCCAAATTGCTGGGATTACAGGCATGAGCCACAGTGCCGGGCCTCAAGCTATATTTTTAATGGCAGTCTTGTCCTGATCTATTGGCCATGCCATACCTAAATAATAAAACCTACCTTTTAAAACAACTGTCTCCCACACTTTTCCAGTGGGCTTGAGCCTCCGTTACCCAAAACACAAATCTACTCCATATCATACCCTTTATTGATTTTCCTTCCTTCCCTCTGTCATTTCCCCACTCCCCAGCTAGTGCTTCCTGGAGCCACCTCCCAAATAAATGACTTACACTCAAATCATTCTAGAACCTGCTTCTAGGGAACCCCACGTAAGGTAATAATATATAAAGATGGAGTTGCTCTGATGGAAGCTGGGCCTCCTCCCGCTCCTCAGTCCTTTCCAGGCCATCTCTGTGGAACCCCAGGGTTCCATAGAAAGAGAACATAATTTGAGAGTTACTTTCTTAAACTGTATTGGGATTAACCAGCAAGTAAAACTCATCATTACCCACCCAGCAGTATTTTCAGAGGTAAGAAACTTACTTCTCAAGTTTGTATGCTTCAAAATGTATTGCCTTTAAAAAGTATATAGCAAAATATCAACAAGAAATGAATATACCTAATGGGATGCTATCTTATTAAAACAGGTAATTTCTCTACCTGAGAGTCTAATTTATTTTTACATAGATGCTTGCACACCAGGCCTGCATTGGTGGTCTGGAAATTGAAATCCATGTTAAACAGCAGCCTTTAAGCTGTATATTTTAAGGGGATGTTGCCTCCGAGACAAAAGTAGACTGGTATACACTTCAATGTCGACACTTTTACCTACATTTACAGTTCTTGACAGGGCTTACACACTCTCGCTATTGTACTTCTAACACTTGCAAAATAACCTACTTAAGTGTCAATTGCTAATCTTAGTATTTACTCCACCACCACCCTTATTAGTAAATCTTTTCTAAATGGGCTAATTGATAATCTCAAGACAGTTGTAAAGTCTGCCTTTTCCCAAAAACGATGTGTAATTAGGTCAAGGATGAGAATTCCTCTCGAGTCTGCAGAAGGTGTGAATCACTAGGAGCAGATTGTTTCAACAGCTCACTGAGGTTGTGCTTCCCTAAAGGAAGCCTCTAATTGCAGATAGCTATAGGGCACAGTTTATACTATTAGCTTGTGAGTGCCGTTATTAGAGTTAGTCAGACTTCTTTGGGCTGCAAATGATGGAAATCCAGCACAAACTGGTTAAATAAAAGGGGAATATATTATTGAGCATTATTGAAAGGTCCAGGCTTCGGCTTGGCTGGATCCAGGGGTCAGATGATGTCTCCTATGTTAGATCTTGCTCTCTTTTCACTCTCTGCTGCCCCCATTTTCAGGCAGGCTCTTACCTCATGGTGACAAACCGGCTGCCAGCAACTCCTGGCATATATCCTATCTTCTTAGAAACCCCAATACCAAGAGAACGCCTCTTTCCTAGTTTCCCTAGCAAAAGCCCTGAGACTCAGTCCCACCAGAACAACTCAGGTCAGATGCCCAGCCCCTGACCCATCACTGTGGCCATGGGGATGTGATGCTGGGATTGGTCCAGCCTGAATCACATGCCTACCCCTGGAGGAAAGGGAGCCCCCAAGTGACATCATGATGCTCTTACCAAAGGAAGGTTATCACAGGTAATAGGCAAGCAAAGGCAACAGATGCTCTTTGAGCAGGTATAAGCTCTTCATGGTGAAGGTCTAGAACCAGTGGTGTCTGCTGTATTCCCAAGGCTAATGGCAAGGGTAATGCTTTGCCTTAGAATTCTACTGCCTCTCCTAGACTATGTATGATTGTAATTCTGTGACTAACTTACTGTGTGTCTATGAAAAAAAATGTGTAAGCCTGCCAGGTTTCTGGGGCTTCCCACATAGTCACTGGGAAGAAATAATACAGTCTCTTCACCTTCAACCCATGAATAGCTAGAATCTTAGAATAGAGACACTACATAGGCGGTGTTGGCGGGCACGGAGGCTCACACCTGTAATCGCAGCACTTTGGGAGGCTGAGGTGGGCAGATCTCTTGAGCCCCAGAATTCGAGACCAGCCTGGGCAACATGGTGAAACCCTGTCTCTACAAAAATTACAAAAAAATTAGCCTAGCTTTGTGGTATGTGCCTGTAGACCCAGCTACTCAGGAGGGTGAGATGGAAGGATCACCTAATCCAAGGAGGTCAAGGCTGCAGTGAGGTTATACCGCTGCACTCCAGCCAGGGTGACAGATTGAGATTCTATCAAAAAAAAAAAAAAAAAGGAATGTTTGGAGAGTTTTCTGAAGATAGATAGTCTTAGAATGCAAGTTAATCACAGGGAGACTTATAGCTGGGTGAGAAGGAAGTGCTATCCCTTTGCCACCTTGCAGGATCGTGTGGAACTCACTTGTCCCCAATAAGCCTCACCCCCACTTGTAAAATTACCTCTTGTGGAAGAAGAAAAGCATAGCCAATCTCCTCACTATGTTGCTATTTACTTCCCACTCTTTGAAAAGATTTTTCTAATGACAAGTGGAGACAATACAGGGGTGACAAATGTATGAATTTTTTAGCAGTAGCTGAGTGGAGTCCCTGAATGTGCCACTCCCTGGGCCTGAAATGCTCTGTGCCCAGATCAATGTGTGACTGGCTCCACTTAGGACTCAGCTGAATTGTCACCTCCCCAGAGAGGCCTTCCCTGATCATCCTATCTAAAGTTGTCTCCCATCCTAGTCCCCGTTTGTCACAGCTTAATAGCACTTATCACTCTGAAATTACCATGTTAATTATCTGTCTCTCTCATTAGGATGTAATCTCTAGGAGAGGAGGGGCCATAATCTGTTTTGTTCACTGTGGATGTTCATCATCTTCCATGGTGCCTGGCACATAGTAGGCATTCGGTAAATGATGGAAGCCTCGGTGGATGGATGGATGGATGGATGGATGGATGGATGGATGGATAGGTAGGTGGGTGGATGGATGGATGGACGGATGGACAGATGGGTAGGTAGGTGGATGGATAGATGTGGATGGATGGACGGATGGACGGATGGATGGATGGATGGATGGATAGGTGGGTGGGTGGATGTGAGGGTGGATGAATGGATAAGCCCCAAATTACATCTGGGTTTATGGCTTCTTAGTCCGGAAGGAAATCTACTGTGGTAATAGCAGAAAAGAAATCTATCCACAGTCATAATGTTAAGCAGCCCACTAGCTACAGGGTTTATTAACACATCATAGAATCCTGCGTGTGAAACCAGAAAGAGTAAAAGGAACAGGAGGTTGCTGAGTCAACAAAGTCAACAAAGGCAAGTTTGTTCCCATCAGCGTTAGCTGTCCTAGAGGGTCAAGGGAGAACCCCTGGTCTTGCCATCAGCAGAATTTTAAATGAGGTTGCAATGTTGCAATTGACTGTAGTTACCTAGTTTCCATATGAAAGAACACTTAACAATTCAGCCAAATGATTACAGCATCTGGAAAAAAAAAAATCTTTATTTCACTCTTTCTACAGCCCCTTATATCCTGGGAATAAATGCCATCAATTCTGAGATTTGTGAGGCAAATCCAAACCCTTCATTGGTTGCCTGTACTTTGGATCAGTGGAGAATTCCATCTGTCAGGGCATTTGCTGCATCATAACAGTTGTTGAATTTTCTTCAGGCAACAGATGAAGAACTCTGTCTACAGAAGCCGGCAGTCTCTGAACAGCCCGAGTCCAGGGGAAACCGAGATGGACCTTCTGGTGACTCGGGAGCGACCCCGGCGTGGAATCCGCAACAGCGGATACGATGTGAGTCTCTGGTGGGCTGGGTAAATACAAGCTTTCCTTTCCCCTGAAGGCAAGGGGGATAGGGCATCCCACTGTGTTTTGGTTTACCACATATTTGTGGAATTTTAAAAAGCACTAAAATGTTTTCTATTTTTTTATTACCTATTTTGCAAAGTAGGACTACTTGGAATGTGTCAGAGTAACAGATTATTGCTAAAAGGATCACGATTTCCGAATTGTGCCATGTTATGAATAGCACATTACGGACTTTAAACTCAATGGATATTCTAAATGCCCTTAATTTATTTTCCCCTCTGTCCTTAGAAATTCAGCAGGGACCACGGCCATGGGTTAGAATTCACTTGAACACAGGCTTCTTTTAATTCATAGCGATATTGAAAAGCTGGATTTGTTCCTGATTTCATAACTCCTCGGTATGCCATGGAAACAATGAGATGTCCAACAGGGCGGTTTGATAATTTCATGTGACAAAGCACATGCTTATGTTCAGTGACGTGACCAAGCTGCAGAAATTATTTTAATCCCGTCAGATTTCCCCAGATGAGGAGTTGCAATTTGGTGCCTCATCTCCGGTACCCTGCACCCTGTGACTTGTCCTTGGACCCATGAGCTCAGGTGAATTGTCCTGTGCTGAGAGGTACAGTAATGCCTCACCCTGCCCCAGCATTTCACATGATCTTGAATCTACACCTAGGTTTGTGAACAGTGTTTCCTTCCCATTCCCCTAAAATGTTTCTCTAAATACAAATAAAATTTTTTCTTTAATAAGAGTTATAATTCAAATATATCTAGATAAACTTATGTTATAATTTAAGAAGTTGTAGTTTGACACTTGGTTTTTAAAATATACCATGCTAATTGGAAAGCAACAATATTTTTCTCCCTCAGGATTAGTCATCTTTTGCCACAAAACCTTAAAATGGGATTTTTTAATGGTCCAATTAAAAACAGAGATATTCTACCTAATTTGAATTTCTAATCACCTTCCTTATATTTAAACTTGATGTTTGTGTTAGTAGTGTTACCCTTATCTTTTGTTTCTTTTTCCTTTTTCATAAAACAGTTTGGTAGTTTAGTTTTATAAATTATAGATGCTTTGGGCAAATCTTTTATTTTTCCACTAGGTTAAATTATTCAATGTTAATTTTTCTCCTTATAAAAAAATATTTCCTATGCGAAATTCATTCAGCAATTTGATAATCAGCCTGTGATTAAAAATCAGGCATTGGAAGCTTCCAGTTAATCTTTCCCCACCAACAGTGAACCTTCTTCCTCGATGCTTATTTAGTTTGGGAACTTTTTCACCTGCTCAGGCATCTGAGACACAGTAGGATTCTCAATTTATTTCAAGATTGGCATTAATAGGGTTTTTTAGTGAGATTGTAGGCAAAGACACCTTGACAGTTTTGAGGAAATGGGTCAGAGGTTTCCCTAATAACCTTAAAAAGAGAACATTGCAGATCGTTTTTTAACCACAGTGACATGACTTGCAGCACTCACTTAGCATCTGTGGAATGTCATGTTAGCAACTTACCTAGAACAATAGAAAGAGACAGATAATTTTTAGGAGGAGATTGCTCACCCTTACAGACATGTATAAGTATACCAAGTACATGTTACTTTAGGGGAAGCCTGCTTTATTCTAATAGACTTCTTTAAAATAGATACTGCTTTGAGAAGTGCATGTGATCTCAAAAATATGATGATAAGCTCCCTTCAGAGAAAAATGATCATCTAGGGAATGGCTTTAAGAATTTAGACTATTGACTGTAAGAATGAAATTGCTTACCTATATCTCCTCTTGTGCTTTTTATACTAATCATATGAAAAGTGTCTAATATTTACCAACTGCTCACTATAGACCAAGCCCTATTCTAGTCTTTTCATGTGTATTATCTCATTGCATTTGCATAGTTACCAGCCAAGTAGATGCTTTCATTATGCCCATTGTATGGATGAAGAAACTGAGGCCAGTTATATAATTTGCCTACCCAGCCACAGAGCCCCTCCCCTTAACCACCATGCAATATGGCCTCTGTATTCATCCTTCCTCACTATACATCTATCCTTACGTAATATAATCCGTATCCTATATTTTTGAACCTCTGGAAGAAGCTAGATGTCAGGGCTCACAAGCATTCTTACATGAATAACTCACACAAGCAAAACATGGACCAGCAAATAAAGTAGAAAAAAAAAAGTGAGTCATAGTTTTAAACAATACATTCATTTTCTAAGCTCTTGATTTTCTAAAATTACCAGAGCGCTTCTGGCAAAAGAATCCATTAGCACAGCAGTGAGCCGGTCATTCAATTGGAAACATGTCATTCTTCCCACTGGGTCTGGGGATCTAGAAGCCCTGCCAAAATATCCAGTCCTTTCTGCCAGGTTGGGGAACCTTGACACCGTAGAAGCAAAAGCACTGGGAGATTGATTTAATTTTACGTTTTTTGAAAGATGACTGGAGTCCCAAAGGAAAAGCCTGAATGTAAAAATAAATGAATAAATGCATAAATAAGCAAATACGTGCTACACAGGCAAATCTTAGCACCAGGACTGTAGCAGCATGGATTGTTGCACAATTTTCCCATAGAACAAGAGTTATTAGGGCCTATAGAAGGGAGACCCTTAGCTCCAAGGGGTTTGGGATCACTGCGTTTTACAGCAACAATCTTCAACCTTTTGGTCACTCTTTCAGCTAAGGGATGTAGTACACTCCCGGCACTAACAATACCTCACTTGGTAGTAATATTCTAGAAGGACACATTCCCATTAGAGGGATGTGTTATTTTCACAAGATGCTCCAAACTCCCAAAAGACCAGATCATATTATTAAACCAACTTTGGCATTGAACTTAATTCATCCCTATGTATAAAGCAGGTAGAAAAGAAAATGTCAGCCTAATGTGTAAAAGCAAAAATATCTCTATTTCAAAGTATTTTTAAAATGTTATTTTCTGAATGAAAGTCATGTGGAAAATAATGAAGCAGTAAGGAAAAGAAAAAAAAAATGCTGTAAATATGATTCTCAGGCAGAATAAAGACCGAAGTGATTTTTCCTTTATCAGCCAAATTATTTACCCCAGTATGTGGATACGAAACCTTTGCTTCCAAAAGGTAAGTAATCATTAAATCATCCCCCAGAAAGAAAAATGCACCTCTTCAACATTGATCTGTTTTTGGAGTTTAAAAATCCGTGGCAGGAAAGGAGCCAGCTATGTGCCTTGGCTATGAGGGAGACTCTGAAATTTATTGTTTGAATTATAACTTTGAAAATGAATGAAGTAGGGACTTTTACAAACTACTTCTCTTAGTTTCCCTCTAGCAGCTTGTCTGAAGTTCCATGCACTGGAGGTAGTTGCCAGTCCTGTGGGCTCAGACCCTAAAATGTGGGCAGTGGGTTTGAAAATGTTAAGAAGGATGGTTGATTCATTGGTGCATCTCAAAGAGGCGATCACAGTCATTAGTTCTCACTCCAGAGGGCTTCTTTGGGGAAATGTTTGAAACCAGATGCTTCTACAGCTGAAAAGTACATGTAAATCTATAAAAAGGGGTATCAGGCGAGGTCCAGCTGCAGAAAACTGAAAACATCAGCTGTTTAAAACAGACCCAAAAAATGACTATTAGGAATTAGGCGCTCACAAAATCATCGGCGGGTTGAAGGAATGTTCCTGGAAAGATTCCTAGAACAAGACCACAGGGCTGGCCCTGAGGAGGGGCTGCTGCCTCTTCCTCAAGCAGGAAGATGGAGAAGCGGCCTGCCCTGGAACACCGAGGTTAAGAAAACACAGTCATAGCATGATCCAGGAATGAGAGAGCCCCACAGAACCAGAGTTAAGGACTGTGGTGCTCAGCAACCCAGCTTCCAGCAGCCTAGGCAGCAGAAAGATGGGCCTGCCCCATTTCCTCTGTCCGGAGTGCACACAAGTGCATCTAACTGACAGGACCGAAGTCTCATCCACAGCCACAACCTCCTGGAACGCCAGGAGATAGAAATTAGCCATTTAGCCTCAACAGTACAGGAATGCACACTACAAGGAGGTTGCCTGTCCATTACCTCCACGGCAGGCACCAGGCAAAAGCGAGAGGAGAGAAAAATTACCAGGCAGGGCAATACTCAGGAAGCAGTTGGGGCAACTAGTGGATAAAAGTATATCCCAAAGGCGAAAATGAGCCCGTTTCTCAGAGCTCAGTCCACAACAGCCTGCTGAGGAAGGCCTGGGCGCGTTGTCTGATGTCAAGCCTATAGGCTGACAGTGCACCCAGCTTCCTTTGTTACAGGTGAGCAGTGGTTACTGGAAGGAGATGAAGGAATTGAAACGGTTGTTTTGATGAGTTGCACTTGCAGAACAATGAAATATTATCTGGAAAGTCCCTGACTGCTCACAAAGCTTATGGCAAGTCTGGGGCCTCCTCAGTAAATTTGTAATCCTATTATTAATAGAAATCTCTTCTGCCCACCCACTTCCCACACCTGCCCCAGCACCTTACAGCTTTGGCGTAACAGTCAGGGACCAAGGCCAACACAGGAATGCCCTGGTGCTGCGTAATGGAGTGGTCCCAATTAAGGGTACAACCAGCTTGTTGCTCCATTGGGAAGCAATTGGTTGGATTTGGAGATTTTGTCCTTTATTCTAGAAGCAACCTGCTTGTTGCCCCCCTGACCTCGGTGCTCTTGTGTTGACCCCACTACCATTACCACCTTAGCATCTCACCCAAAACTTTCCTCCATAGCCCCTCATCTTAGCCTTTCATTTCCTTCTCCTACCTCTCCCAGCTAACATGAGCTATAATAACCCTGGCTTGATATGTTATCTCGACTTAATTTACGGTACATTATATTTTAACAGGGACTTCTAATCCAAGAGAAATATCTGCTCATGGGAAATCAGGCTCCCTGGGAGAACCTGAGGCAAAGAGATTGAGGTGTTTGAGGGTGAAGGAGGTCTTTAGGTAAAGTCCAGATGTCACCAGGTTGATGGCTGCCCAGAAAGACACTTATCAACCCCAGTGATGGAGGCCACTTGGCGAGTGGGGAGTGGGAGGTGGGATGCTTGTTGTCAGGTTTGAGAGGGAGGCGGAGGGGTTTCAGCATGGCCTAGTGACCTCCTTCAGAGCCAGGCCTCCCCTGCAGGCCAAGAATTTCCCTCCCCTATAGGCAACTTCCCACTGGGCAGGAGATAAACAACTTCCCTTCTGTTAGCAGCACTCAAGTGCTATCTGCCTGCATCTTCTCTCTGATCCCCTGCGTTCTGGACCCTGTCTGCTCTTATTCTTGGTACCTGCCTGCCCATGCCCATTTTTTCCCGGACTCTGGGACCTCCTACCCTCTTGACCTAGGGTAGCCACTTCTTTCAGGCCAGGGTCCTCAGCATGCTGTAGGTATACTTTCAGGGAGAGGAGGAAGTAGATTTAGGCAGCTTTTAAAGTTGGGCTATGGTACAGACACTACAAGGCCTCAGCTGACCCCATGGAGGCTCTGCAGCTCAGATGGCCCTGAAGAGTTGTCTCAAGTTTGGGAAGCAGCTGTGCATATGTACTCTAGAATGGACCAGTCATTGGATGTCCTTGGGTGAGGCTGTTCTCTTTAGCCAAGGGCAGTTCCCTGCAAGAGCTGACATCTGAGGACTGACAGCTGGCAGTGTGCCCAGCAGCTGGGGGAATCCATCTTCTAGTCCTAAGCAGCATGGCTTAGAGTCCACTAGTTCCTTACAATCCTATGTACTCCTGGGCCACCTATGTCTGCCAAGCCCCTGCAGGAGCTGGAGGCCAGTGGACAAATGTAAACACCCCTTGGGAATTGCCATTCCTTTTCTTTCTTCTAGCAAACATTAATTGAGTGCATTGGAACCATGGCAGCATATGTGCACTTAATGTATGTAAATTCAGTAATACGAGTCCTGAAAGAAAAAGGAAAAAAAACTTAAATAAAGCCAAAAAACTAGCTTTTACATGTATTTTGTTTATATTGTACATTGCAGATTATGTGTTTCTTTTTCCCTATTACCTTATAAGGTTGTATGCACAGGGCCACATAGGCTACACCAAGTGGACGATTTAAGAGATTTTCTTTTTTTTTTTTTTAATTTTTGCTTTTTTTTTATTATTATTATACTTTAAGTTTTAGGGTACATGTGCACAATGTGCAGGTTAGATACATATGTATACATGTGCCATGCTGGTGCACTGCACCCACTGACTCCTCATCTAGCATTAGGTATATCTCCCAGTGCTATCCCTCCCCCCTCCCCCCACCCCACAACAGTCCCCAGAGTGTGATGTTCCCCTTTCTGTGTCCATGTGTTCTCATTGTTCAATTCCCACCTATGAGTGAGAACATGTGGTGCTTAGTTTTTTGTTCTTGCGATAGTTTACTAAGAATGATGATTTCCAATTTCATCCATGTCCCTACAAAGGACATGAACTCATCATTTTTTATGGCTGCATAGTATTCCATGGTGTATATGTGCCACATTTTCTTAATCCAGTCTATCATTGTTGGACATTTGGGTTGGTTCCAAGTCTTTGCTATTGTGAATAGTGCCTCAATAAACATACGTGTGCATGTGTCTTTATAGCAGCATGATTTATAGTCCTTTGGGTATATACCCAGTAATGGGATGGCTGGGTCAAATGGTATTTCTAGTTCTATATCCCTGAGGAATCGCCACACTGACTTCCACAATGGTTGAACTAGTTTACAGTCCCACCAACAGTCTAAAAGTGTTCCTATTTCTCCATATCCTCTCCAGCACCTGTTGTTTCCTGACTTTTTAATGATTGCCATTCTAACTGGTGTGAGATGGTATCTCATTGTGGTTTTGATTTGCATTTCTCTAATGGCCAGTGATGGTGAGCATTTTTTCATGTGTTTTTTGGCTGCATAAATGTCTTCTTTTGAAAAGTGTCTGTTCATGTCCTTTGCCCACTTTTTGATGGGGTTGTTTGTTTTTTTCTTGTAAATTTGTTGAGTTCATTGTAGATTCTGGATATTAGCCCTTTGTCAGATGAGTAGGTTGTGAAAATTTTCTCCCATTTTGTAGGTTGCCTGTTCACTCTGATGGTAGTTTCTTTTGCTGTGCAGAAGCTCTTTTAGTTTAATTAGATCCCATTTGTCAATTTTGGCTTTTGTTGCCATTGCTTTTGGTGTTTTAGACATGAAGTCCTTGCCCATGTCTATGTCTTGAATGGTAATGCCTAGGTTTTCTTCTAGGGTTTTTATGGTTTTAGGTCTAACGTTTAAGTCTTTAATCCATCTTGAATTGATTTTTGTATAAGGTGTAAGGAAGGGATCCAGTTTCAGCTTTCTACATATGGCTAGCCAGTTTTCCCAGCACCATTTATTAAATAGGGAATCCTTTCCCCGTTGCTTGTTTTTCTCAGGTTTGTCAAAGATCAGATAGTTGTAGATATGCGGCATGATTTCTGAGGGCTCTGTTCTGTTCCATTGATCTATATCTCTGTTTTGGTACCAGTACCATGCTGTTTTGGTTACTGTAGCCTTGTAGTATAGTTTGAAGTCAGGTAGTGTGATGCCTCCAGCTTTGTTCTTTTGGCTTAGGATTGACTTGGCAATGCGGGCTCTTTTTTGGTTCCATATGAACTTTAAAGTAGTTTTTTCCAATTCTGTGAAGAAAGTCATTGGTAGCTTGATGGGGATGGCATTGAATCTGTAAATTACCTTGGGCAGTATGGCCATTTTCACAATATTGATTCTTCCTACCCATGAGCATGGAATATTCTTCCATTTGTTTGTATCCTCTTTTATTTCCTTGAGCAGCGGTTTGTAGTTCTCCTTGAAGAGGTCCTTCACATCCCTTGTAAATTGGATTCCTAGGTATTTTATTCTCTTTGAAGCAATTGTGAATGGGAGTTCACTCATGATTTGGCTCTCTGTCTGTTGTTGGTGTATAAGAATGCTTGTGATTTTTGTACATTGATTTTGTATCCTGAGACTTTGCTGAAGTTGCTTATCAGCTTAAGGAGATTTTGGGCTGAGACAATGGGGTTTTCTAGATATACAGTCATGTCGTCTGCAAACAGGGACAATTTGACTTCCTCTTTTCCTAATTGAATACCCTTTATTTCCTTCTCCTGCCTAATTGCCCTGGCCAGAACTTCCAACACTATGTTGAATAGGAGTGGTGAGAGAGGGCATCCCTGTCTTGTGCCAGTTTTCAAAGGGAATGCTTCCAGTTTTTGCCCATTCAGTATGATATTGGCTGTGGGTTTGTCATAGATAGCTCTTATTATTTTGAAATACGTCCCATCAATACCTAATTTATTGAGAGTTTTTAGCATGAAGTGTTGTTGAATTTTGTCAAAGGCCTTTTCTGCATCTATTGAGATAATCATGTGGTTTTTGTCTTTGGTTCTGTTTATATGCTGGATTACATTTATTGATTTGCATATATTGAACCAGCCTTGCATCCCAGGGATGAAGCCCACTTGATCATGGTGGATAAGCTTTTTGATGTGCTGCTGGATTCGGTTTGCCAGTATTTTATTGAGGATTTTTGCATCAATGTTCATCAAGGATATTGGTCTAAAATTCTCTTTTTTGGTTGTGTCTCTGCCCGGCGTTGGTATCAGGATGATGCTGGCCTCATAAAATGAGTGAGGGAGGATTCCCTCTTTTTCTATTGATTGGAATAGTTTCAGAAGGAATGGTACCAGTTCCTCCTTGTACCTCTGGTAGAATTCGGCTGTGAATCCATCTGGTCCTGGAATCTTTTTGGTTGGTAAGCTATTGATTATTGCCTCAATTCCAGCTCCTGTTATTGGTCTATTCAGAGATTCAACTTCTTCCTGGTTTAGTCTTCGGAGAGTGTATGTGTCGAGGAATTTATCCATTTCTTCTAGATTTTCTAGTTTATTTGCATAGAGGTGTTTGTAGTATTCTCTGATGGTAGTTTGTATTTCTGTGGGATCGGTGGTGATATCCCCTTTATCATTTTTTAGTGTGTCTATTTGATTCTTCTCTTTTTTTCTTTATTAGTCTTGCCAATAAAGAAACAATTAGTCTTGCTAATAAACAAAATCTATCAATTTTGTTGATCCTTTCAAAAAACCAGCTCCTGGATTCATTAATTTTTTGAAGGGTTTTTTGTGTCTCTATTTCCTTCAGTTCTGCTCTGATTTTAGTTATGTCTTGCCTTCTGCTAGCTTTTGAATGTGTTTGCTCTTGCTTTTCTAGTTCTTTTAATTGTGATGTTAGGGTGTCAATTTTGGATCTTTCCTGCTTTCTCTTGTGGGCATTTAGTGCTATAAATTTCCCTCTACACACTGCTTTGAATGCATCCCAGAGATTCTGGTATGTTGTGTCTTTGTTCTCGTTGGTTTCAAAGAACATCTTTATTTCTGCCTTCATTCGTTATGTACCCAGTAGTCATTCAGGAGCAGGTTGTTCAGTTTCCATGTAGTTGAGTGGTTTTGAGTGAGATTCTTAATCCTGAGTTCTAGTTTGATTGCACTGTGGTCTGAGAGATAGTTTGTTATAATTTCTGTTCTTTTACATTTGCTGAGGAGAGCTTTACTTCCAAGTTTGTGGTCAATTTTGGAATAGGTGTGGTGTGGTGGTGAAAAAAATGTATATTCTGTTGATTTGGGGTGGAGAGTTCTGTAGATGTCTATTAGGTCCGCTTGGTGCAGAGCTGAGTTCAATTCCTGGATATCCTTGTTGACTTTCTGTCTCGTTGATCTGTCTAATGTTGACAGTGGGGTGTTAAAGTTTCCCATTATTAATGTGTGGGAGTCTAAGTCTCTTTGTAGGTCACTCAGGACTTGCTTTATGAATCTGGGTGCTCCTGTATTGGGCGCATATATATTTAGGATAGTTAGCTCTTCTTGTTGAATTGATCCCTTTACCATTATGTAATGGCCTTCTTTGTCTCTTTTGATCTTTGTTGGTTTAAAGTCTGTTTTATCAGAGACTAGGATTGCAACCCCTGCCTTTTTTTGTTTTCCATTTGCTTGGTAGATCTTCCTCCATCCTTTTATTTTGAGCCTATGTGTGTCTCTGCACGTGAGATGGGTTTCCTGAATACAGCACACTGATGGGTCTTGACTCTTTATCCAATTTGCCAGTCTGTGTCTTTTAATTGGAGCATTTAGTCCATTTACACTTAAAGTTAATATTGTTATGTGTGAATTTGATCCTGTCATTATGATGTTAGTTGGTTATTTTGCTTGTTAGTTCATGCAGTTTCTTCCCAGTCTCGATGGTCCTTACATTTTGGCATGATTTTGCATCGGCTGGTACCGGTTGTTCCTTTCCATGTTTAGCGCTTCCTTCAGGAGCTCTTTTAGGGCAGGCCTGGTGGTGACAAAAGCTCTCAGCATTTGCTTGTCTGTAAAGTATTTTATTTCTCCTTCACTTACGAAGCTTAGTTTGGCTGGATATGAAATTCTGGGTTGAAAATTCTTTTCTTTAAGAATGTTGAATTTTGGCCCCCACTCTCTTCTGGCTTGTAGAGTTTCTGCCGAGAGATCCGCTGTTAGTCTGATGGGCTTCCCCCTTTGAGGGTAACCCGACCTTTCTCTCTGGCTGCCCTTAACATTTTTTCCTTCATTTCAACTTTGGTGAATCTGACAATTATATGTCTTGGAGTTGCTCTTCTCGAGGAGTATCTTTGTGGTGTTCTCTGTATTTCCTGAATCTGAATGTTGGCCTGCCTTGCTAGATTGGGGAAGTTCTCCTGGATAATATCCTGCAGAGTGTTTTCCAACTTGGTTCCATTCTCCCCATGACTTTCAGGTACACCAATCAGACGTACATTTGGTCTTTTCACATAGTCCCATATTTCTTGGAGGCTTTGCTCGTTTCTTTTTATTCTTTTTTCTCTAAACTTCCCTTCTCGCTTCATTTCATTCATTTCATCTTCCATCGCTGATACCCTTTCTTCCAGTTGATCACATCGGCTCCTGAGGCTTCTGCATTCTTCACGTAGTTCTCGAGCCTTGGTTTTCAGCTCCATCAGCTCCTTTAAGCACTTCTCTGTATTGATTATTCTAGTTATACATTCTTCTAAATTTTTTTCAAAGTTTTCAACTTCTTTGCCTTTGGTTCGAATGTCCTCCCGTAGCTCGGAGTAATTTGATCGTCTGAAGCCTTCTTCTCTCAGCTCGTCAAAGTCATTCTCCGTCCAGCTTTGTTCCGTTGCTGGTGAGGAACTGCGTTCCTTTGGAGGAGGAGAGGCGCTCTGCTTTTTAGAGTTTCCAGTTTTTCTGCTCTGTTTTTCCCCATCTTTGTGGTTTTATCTACTTTTGGTCTTTGATGATGGTGATGTACAGATGGTTTTTTGGTGTGGATGTCCTTTCTCTTTGTTAGTTTTCCTTCTAACAGACAGGACGCTCAGCTGCAGGTCTGTTGGAGTACTGGACCGTGTGAGGTGTCAGTCTGCCTCTGCTGGGGGGTGCCTCCCACTTAGGCTGCTCAGGGGTCAGGGACCCACTTGAGGAGGCAGTCTGCCCGTTCTCAGATCTCCAGCTGCATGCTGGGAGGACCACAGCTCTCTTCAAAGCTGTCAGACCGGGACATTTAAGTCTGCAGAGGTTACTGCTGTCTTTTTGTTTGTCTGTGCCCTGCCCCCAGAGGTGGAGCCTGCAGAGGCAGGCAGGCCTCCTTGAGCTGTGGTGGGCTCCACCCAGTTCGAGCTTCCCGGCTGCTTTGTTTACCTAAGCAAGCCTGGGCAATGGCGGGCGCCCCTCCCCCAGCCTCGCTGCCACCTTGCAGTTTGATCTCAGACTGCTGTGCTAGCAATCAGCGAGACTCCGTGGGCGTAGGCCCCTCCGAGCCAGGTGCGGGATATAATCTCCTGGTGCGCCATTTTTTAAGCCTGTCGGAAAAGCGCAGTATTCGGGTGGGAGTGACCCGATTTTCCAGGTGCCGTTTGTCACCCCTTTCTTTGACTAGGAAAGGGAACTCCCTGACCCTTTGCGCTTCCCGAGTGAGGCAATGCCTCGCCCTGCTTCGGCTCATGCATGGTGCGTGCACCCAGTGACCTGCGCCCACTGTCTGGCACTCCCTAGTGAGATGAACCCGGTACCTCAGATAGAAATGCAGAAATCACCCATCTTCTGCGTCGCTCACGCTGGGAGCTGTAGACCGGAGCTGTTCCTATTTGGCCATCTTGGCTCCTCCCGATTTAAGAGATTTTCAAGGGCTTTTCTCTACATGATTTTTACCTACTCTGCTGGCTGGCATTAGCATTAGCATCTAAGCTTTGTATGAGATTCCACTGTATCAACCCGTGTGAGGCTCTGTGGAGAAGGGAAAGATGTATTAATTTTCGTGCATGGCCAGGTAATTACTAGTGGAGGAGAGAGGTGGAGGCACGTGCAACGTACTGTGGCAATGAACTTGGATGGGAAGAGGAAGTGCTCCTGAGGGTTTGTTCCTTCCTGTCTGTCCCACAGCCACTGCCCAGTACTGTCTCCATTACTCACCACTGCTGAAGCTGCCAGACAGCTGCCAGGGACATCCTTCTAAAACACACACTCTTGTTCAAAATCCTCCAGGAGCTCCCCATAGCTTTGGAGATAAAACTCAGACTCTAAGCTCCCAGCTCAGCACTTTTCTGCTCTGGCTGGCCCAGATGTGCCCTTCTAGCTGACGCGTGTTACTCCTTCAACCACCCCCTTGGCTCCAGCCTGAACACCTTCCCCAAACTTGTCCTGTGGTTTCTCATCTCCGGGTTTTTGCATGCATGCATCACTCCGCCTGGAATCTCCCTTCCCACCTGCTTCATCCAGGCCCAGGCTGCTCAGCCTCCTCGCTGTTAACACTTAGGGCTGTAGAGTTTCTTCATATGGTGCGCTGTCCTGTACGTTACAGGGTTTTTAGCAGCATCCGTGGTCTCTACCTATGCCTGAGGTGCCAGAAGCCCCTCCCAGTTGTGACAACCAAAATACGTCTCCAGGCATTGCAGATGTCCCCTGGTGGTCAAACCTGCTCCTGGCTGAGAACTACTGACCTAAGCAATGCTTTTGGAACTTGGTTTAAACATGACCTTCCCCAGCACCTTTTCCTGGCCCCTATGCCTATGGGCCCCTCCTTTGTGTTCCAGTAGCCCCTGATACCCCAATCAAAGCCTTCACCTCCAACTTCCATTAGTTAGTTCACTTGTGTTATTTCCCCATGCAACTCCTCGAGGACAGGAGTCATGTTTTATTTATCCTTGAAACCACAGCACTCGGAATAGTAACTGGCACACAGTAGATGCGGTGTCTCTATTTGTTGGGCAAATGAACAAACAAGTGTGTCAAACAGAAGAGGTGACTCCTGAGCTGAGACTTGAAAAAATGGGTCACGTTTCTAGCTCTGAGCCAAATACACATTAGATTTGACGGAATATCAAAACCATAGGCTGATGTCCATTGCCATTTGGAGTTCACTGTGAATGGTGGTTATCCACTAAAATCCTTTGGCAAAAGCAACAGAAACTCCAACTTAAACGATCTTAAAACATGAACAGGGTGAATTGTTTACGGTAAATCCAGGCATGGTTTGGTTGGGGCCCCAGTCTGTTCCTCTGCATTATACACAGGTCTGTGTTCCCTTGTGTGTTGGCTGTATCCACAGGTGGACTCTGGTAAGAAATCCCAGGCCTCATATCTACATCCTGTATGGACCAGTGCAAGAGGGAATTCTCTTTTCCCAACCTCAAGACAAGGTTTATGGGTTTTACTCTGACTGAGCCATCATATGCCAAGTGTCCAGCCCTTCATGAATCACTGTAGCAGTGAATGCGGGGAGATTACACTGATTAATTTAACTTGGTCAGGCCCCATCGATGGAGCTGGGGCAGCTTAGTCCCAGCTAGCCCCCCTGGCTGAAACACAGGGAGAGAAGGAGATGGATGCTGAGGCCATCACAGTGCCTGCTACAGTACCTGCTGCTTGAGGAACACTTGTAGTTGGACTTTTTTATTTAGAGAGACAGATCTTGCTCTGTTGCCCAGGCTGGAGTACAGTGACATAATCACAGCTCACTGCAGCCCCAACCTCCTTGGCTCAGGCGAGCCTCCCTCCTCAGCCTCCCAAGTAGCTAGAACTACTACTACCATACCTGGTTAATTTTTAATTTTTATTTATTTATTTATTTATTTTTGTAGAAATGGGGTCTCCCTATGTTGCCCATAGAGGCTGGCCTAGAACTCCTGGCTTTGAGCAATTTTCCCACCTCAGCCTCCCAGAGTGCTGGGATTATAAACATGAGCACTGTGTTGGGCATTTTAAGGAACACACCCAACAGTCTCCTCCACGTCACTCTTCCCTCCAGTTTCAGCCTGTTGTCATCTTTGTGTTTTTTGTCGTTGTTGTTTGTTTTTGAGACAGAGTTTCATTCTTGTTGCCCAGGCTGGAGTGCAATGGTGTGGTCTCAGCTCACTGCAACCTCCACCTCCTGGGTTCAGGCGATTCTCCTGTCTCAGCCTCCCAAGTAACTGGGATGACAGGTGCCCACCACCATGCCCAGCTTTTTTTTTTTTTTTTTTTTTTTTTTTTTTTGTATTTTTAGTAGAGACAGGGTTTCACCATGTTGGCCAGGCTGGTCTTGAACTCCTGACCTCAGGTGATCTGCCCGCCTCTTTCTCCCAAAGTCCTGGGATTTTTACAGGTGTGAGTCACTGCGCCCAGCCCTCTTGTCATCTTTGGTTGGCCCATTCTGAAGGGAAAGATCAGCGTGGTGTTGTGTAACGACTGCTATTCACTGTGAGCTCGGGAAGTCCAGGCTACAGTCAGAGGTTCATGTTTTAGACACAGATAGAGTGACAGAGGGATTTTGTGCATCCGTCTGGTTTTTTCAAGAGCTGAAGAGGTGAAAGGGCAGACTTGAGTGGATGGCGGGGAGAGCCTGTTTGTGATGGAATAGTGCTAACTCACGGGAGAGATCCTCCCAGTGTCCTCGCTCCCTGCAGTGCCAGCTCAGCTAAGATGAAAAAAAGCAGGTGATGACTCACCTAGAAAGCAAAACGCGAATTAGCTTTCCAAGAGAGAAAGCCATTCTGATATGTTTACTTTCGGGTGGATTCCTTTTGAAGAGGTGTTTTTAATTATGACTGTGGTTTATATATTGTTCTTGAAGTTCACAGGTAGTACAGTGTAGGGGCTGTGCTCATAGCCTCTGGAGCTAGGCTACTTACAAGCTACGTGAAGTTAGGCCAGTTACCTTCCTATCTGCGCTTTAGTGTTCTCATCTGTAAAATGGGGATACCAGTGGTACCTACTTTATGAGGATGTTGTGGAAATTAAATGAGCTAATGCAGACAAAGCATGTAGAAAACAGGCGGTGAACATTAGCTATTATAACTCCCCAGGAGGGAGAGGGCGATACTCCCCTTTTCCTGTTTCTTTTCTAGCAGTTACTACTCTGTTTTTGTTGTTGTTGTTGTTGTTTTGAGACAGAGTCTCATTCTGTCGCCCAGGCTGGAGTGCAGTGGCATGATCTCAGCTCACTGCAACTTCTGCCTCCCGGGTTCAAGCAATTCTCCTGCCTTAGCCTCCTGAGTAGCTGGGATTACAAGCATGCACCACCATGCCCAGCTAATTTTTGTATTTTTAAGAGAGGCAGGGTTTCACCAGGTTGGGCAGGCTTATCTGGAACTCCTGACCTCAAGTGATCCACCCACCTCGGCCTCCCAAAGTGCTGGGATTACAGGTTTGAACCACCACGCCCGGCCTGCGCTTACTGCTCTGAATTGTGTCACACACCAAAGAGAGGACTGCATTCCTCCAAGGGTGCCTTTCTCCAGCATGACTGGACAAGAGATGGGCCGTAGTACAAGGCCACACTTCCAGAGATGACCTTTAAGGTAATGTTTTTGCAAACACAGGGTGGGACAGTGGTTGCAACTCAAGGCAAATGGATCTTGTGGGCTGCTCAGTAATTGAATTTCCCCTGCTCCTTAGAGAGCAACAAGTTATGGGGGGAGAAAGACGGGAAGTTGAGCTGGCACCTAAGACTTCTGTTACACGGGGAAGATGTTTTGCTTTAGGGGCAGTGAGTAATGCTGAGAGCATTGGAGCACCTTCTTTTATCCTTGTCTGTCCCATCTTCATAGTCTCAGTGGAGACTCTGATTATGAGTCACTCTCTGAAAGGTCCTCTCTGAAAGAGGATGTCCCTATTTCCTTAGAAGTCTATGAGAGACCCTTTATATGTCTTTTCTACTGAACTGAAACACAGAAACAGCATGCTGTCCTCACATCCTCATAGCCCTGGAGTGATCGTAGATCATCCTTTGGAAGGGCCATCAGAATGAAATTTGAAATTTTGCTGAAAAAATTTTTTTTAATTCCATTTGCACGCCTTTGCAGAAAAGTGACCAAGCCATTATTTTGAACCCCACTGCCTGTTCTGAGGGGAACCAATCTCACTTTATTATTAGAGAAGCTTCCAGGATGCAGGCTTATGGGAAACTGCTGCCAAAGGTCTCTCTGCTCCTGTACCATCATGGTCTTCTTCCCACCTGGTGAAGTGAGAACTTCCTGAAATGTGGTTTCCAGAAGCAACTTTCTAAATATGTCTCTCCTTCCTCAGTAACAGGCAGCACTTGCAGTGGGCAGAGGAGGCATTAAATGGAGAGAAGTGGCACTGTTTTGTGTGGCCCAAAAGACTCCGATTGGTGGAAAATAAAAATGGACATGGAGCCAGATAAATTTCATCATGGCCAGATGGCCCAGGAATTTATCTTGCTGAAACCCCCACTCGGTCTCTGGGCCCTTGCCACGAAGTTGCATAATTTGTTCAGAATCTGTTCGTGCAGGATGGAGCTGCGATTGACACTGAGCTGAAAATCTGGGCTTTGGGGCAGGGTTTGGAGAGAGGCTTCAAATTCCTATGCTCCAGAAATGAAGTAACAAGGTGAGGTAAAGTGATGTTACACCCACTTGTGTGTCCTGGAAAGTGTGGGCTTGTAAAACCCCTGTTCACTTCGGGGCGCCTAACTCAAGAAATTCTAGAATAAGTGGCCTCAAGAGCCCTTTATCCCTCTTCGTTAAGCCCATTCTAGATAAAACTGTTTCATTCATTTTAGACAAAACTGTTTCATTCATTTTAGACAAATGGAAATGTCTTTTACTGTTGAAGACTTTTGAGTAGGAATTCTCCAGACTTTTAACACTCATTTATTCAGTGAGTATTTATTAATGTTCTACCACATGCCATTCTGGGATACGGCAGAAAATATGACAATATCCCTGCCCTCATGGGGCTTATCCAGTAGTCACCACTTATCCATGGTTTCAGCTACTTACGGTCAACTATGATCTGAAAATATTAAATGGGAAATTCCAAAGATAATTTATACGTTTTAAATTGTGTGCCATTCTGAGTAGTGTAATGAAGTCTGACGCCATCCCACTCCATCCCACCCAGGACATGAATCTTGCCTTTGTCCAGCTTATCCTGGTCAACAAGGATAATGTCTATGCTACCCAGCTGTCAGTCACTTAGTCACACAGTGGTTATTCAGACAACCACTGTCGCAGCATGCCAGTGCTTGTGTTCAGGTAACCCTTATTTTACTTAATGGTGGCTCCAAAGGGTGAGAGTGGTAACGCAATTTGGTTATGACAAAGAAAAGCCCTCTAGTGCTTCCTTTAATAGGTGAAAGTTGCTGACTTAGTAAGGAAAGAAAAAAAATTGTATCCTGAGGTTGCTACAATCTCTGGTAACAATGAATCTTCTTTTTTTTTTTTTTTTTGAGACAGAGTCTCGCTGTGTCACCCAGGCTGGATTGCATTTGCGTAATCACGGCTCACTGCAACTTCCACCTCCTGGGTTCAGCCTCCCAAGTAGCTGGGATTACAGGCATGTACTACCACGCCCAGCTAATTTTTGCCTTTTTAATAGAGATGGGGTTTCACCATGTTGGCCAGGCTGGTGTTGAACTCCTGACCTCAAGTGATCCACCAGCCTCGACCTCCCAAAGTTCTGGGATTACGGGCGTGAACCACCACGCCCAGCCAAGAACGAATCTTCTACCCATGAAATTGTGAACAGTATATTGTTATAATTGTTCTTTTATTATTAGCTATTGTTGTTAATTTCTCACTGTGCCTAATTTATAAATTAAACTTTATTATAGGTTTGTATGAGAAAAAACATCATGTATCTAGGATTCATTACTCTCCACGATTTCAGGCATCCAGTGGGGGTCTTGGAACATTTTCCCTGAGGATAAGGGAGACTAATTTATTACACTAGGGAAAACTGGCAACAAACACCCACACACATACATGTACAGCACAGTGTCGGGAAGGCTATGGAGGAACATAACTCAAGGAAGGCAGTGGAGAGTACCAGGAGCTTCTCTGAATAGCTTGGGCAGGGCAGGGCTCTCCAGGGAGGTGACTTTTGAGCAGACCTAAAATGCTTGCCCCAGGGGAAGAGCTTTCCAGGCAGAAAATTCAGCAAGTGGAAGGGCCCAGACATGCTTGGGGAGCTCAGAGACCATTAAGGAGACCCATGTAGCACAGTTCCTCTTGTTGGTAAAGAGTCTTGGCTTCAACTCTTGGCTTTCCTTCACTCTCACATCTAATCTGTCAGCAGCTCTGCCAGTTCTCTTCCAAAATACATCTTGAACTCACCTACCCCTTGTCTGTCCATGACCACCCTAATCCAGGCCCCTGTCATCTCTTCTGGCCTAGGTTACGGCCAGAGCCGCAAGCAAGTGCTTCCTAACCGGCCTCCCATAAATTCCAATCACATTTCTTCCCTGCTTAAAATTCTTCAGTAGTTTCCCATTGCCCTTTGACAACAGTCCAGCCTTCTTACCATGGCCTTTAAGACCCTGCATGATCTGGACCCTGCCTTCCTCTCCAGCCCCATGTCCTGACAATTAGGGCTTCAGCTACAAGGTCTGTATATTAGTTTGCTAGGGCACAGACTGGGTGGTATGGCTTAAACAACAGACATTTATTTTCTCACAGTTCTGGAGGTTACAAGTTCTAGATCAAAGTGTTGGTAGGATTGGTTTCTTCTGAGGGCCATGAGGGAAGGATGCGTTCCAGGTATCTTTCCTGAGTTTATGAAAGGCCATCTCTTCCCTGAGCCTTCATATCGGCTTCCCTTTGTACATGCTGTGTCCAAATTTCCTCTTCTTAGAAGGATCAGTCCTTTGGACCCAAGGGTCCACTCTAATGACCTCATTTAACTTAATTACCTGTGTGAAGGCGCCATCTCCAAATACAGTCACATTCTGAGATGCTAGGAGTTAGGACTTCAACATAAAAATTTTGTGGGGGACACAGTTCATTCTGTAACAGTCCTTTCTTTTTCTCAAGCACTACCAACTCTCTCTCACCTCTGGGCTTTCCTACAACCATCACATGGGCAACCTCTTCTCCTCCTTCAGGTCTGAAAACATGGCATCTCCTCAGAGAAGCTTTCCCTGACCATCCCCATCAAGCTAGCTATGTCAATCTGTTTTGTTTCTTTTAGTATGGGAAAATTGACATATGGTAAAAATGTACAGGTTGTTAGTACACAATGTGATGAGCTTTGACAAAAGTGTACACCCTTATAACCACCAGACCAATGAAAATACCAAACGTTTTCATCACTCCCAGAAAACTCCCTCACTTTTTTTTTCAGTCAATATTCAGCTCACCCATAGGCAACCACTTGTCTGATATAAACCACTATAGTTTTGCCTGTTCTTGAACTTCATATAAATGGATTTATTCAGTATGTACTCTTTTGTGTCTGACTTCTTTCACTCAAGATTCATCTATGTTATTTTATTCTCTAAAATAAATAAAAAAAAAAAAAATAAATAAATAAATAAATAAATAAAATACTCATCTATGAGTATTTTATTCTCTTTTATACTGGGTACTATTCCATTTTATAAATATAATACTATTTGTTTATCCATTATCCTATTGTTGGACATTTGGATTGCTTCCAGTGTGAAGCTAGTATGAAAAAAAAAACTGCCATAAACATTTTCATGTGTTTTCTTAACAAGTGTTTTCATTTATTTTGGATAAATATGTAGGAGTGGAATTTCTGGGTCATAGGGTAGGTATATGTTTAAGAAATTGTAGTCAAATTTACAAAGTTTTTGCACTGTTGCCTCTCCCACTAGCAGTATAACAGTTCTAATTCTAGTCTTAAACCTCACCAACATTTGTTGTTATTAATCTTTCTCATTTTAGCCATTCCACTGAATATGAAATGATATAATTTCCTTATTCCTAATGATGTTGATCATCTTTCCACGTGTTTATTGGACATTTTTGTGTCTTCTTTCATTGAGGTATCTTTTCAAGCCTTTTGCCCAATTTCTAAATTGAGTTGCTTGTCTTTTTGTTATTCATTTGTAGGAACTATTTATATATTGTGGATACAAATCCTAATATTTTCTTGTGGTTGGTAGCTTGTCTTTCCATTAGTTGTCTGATAAGATAGTAGTTTTAATTTTGAATAAGACTTAAAGCTACAGAATGTGCCCCAGGACTAAATTGTTTTGGAATATTTTTTAGGAAGAAGATACTTGGGGTTCCCAGCAGGGCTACAATTTTCTTCAAGTTTGTTCTCATGGTGTTTCAAAGAGAGGATGAAGTCGTGGGTACTTAGCCACTGTGTGCACTATTGTAGATGTATTGGACTGGTTCACTCATTTTAAAACAACATTAAAAGAATTCCAGGTGCTTCCTCTATCCAATGGCCACCATGAAGCGCAAGACCAGGGGCCCATGTGTGGAAGAGGAATGGCTTAAATCTCTTCTAAATACTGTGGCCTTTGCTACTGAGTTCTGATATACCATAACTCTCCAAAACTATAATTACGTGTATATCCTCTCACCTGGTAATTCTCCTTCTAGAAATTTAACCTAAGGATAAACTCATGATTATATGCAAAGTTCTTTTATTATTATTATTATTTTTGAGATGGAGTCTCGCTCTGTCACCCATGCTGGAGTGCAGTGGTGTGATCTTGGTTCACTGCAACCTCCGCCTCCCGGGCTCAAGCGATTCTCCTGCCTCAGCCTCTGGAGTAGCTGGGATCACAGGCGCGCGCTACCTCGCCTGGCTAATTTTTCTATTTTTAGTAGAGGCGGCATTTCACCATGTTGCCCAGGCTGGTCTCGAACTCCTGACCTCAAATGATCCGCCCGCCTTGGCCTCCCAAAGTGCTGGGATTACAGGCATGAGCCACTGTGTCCAGCCATATATGCAAAGTTCTAAACACAAGGATACTTACTCCAGCTTTGTTCATATAGTAAGATATTAGGAAAACACCTAAAATAGTGGACTATTAAATATATGGTAGCCTAAAAACTCCATTTATTAGAATGCTATGAAATCCTTATTCTCTATACATTTATTTATTGATGGAGATACTTACTTACAATATTGTTGAATTAAAAAGGTTTCAAAATATTGTAATGTCATTTTTAAAAACCTTATATATGTGTGCATATATATATTTATGCCTGCATATATGTGTGTGTGTTTACATATATATAAAATATACATATATGCCTACATATATATGTATATGTGTGTATGTATTCTGTTTATAAAATCATGACCCAAACAGCTCAGTCTGAGAGAGTATCTAAGTCAAAAGAACTCTGCCAACAAAAGTAATTTTAAAATACCTCTACTCCTTTACTTATATTTTTATATGTGAGAAGGCAAATACATCATACTCAGTAAAACTTTCTAAATTCCCTTAATTACTCTGCCATTCACATGCCACACCTGCTTCTGCACCTCTCTTGAAAATCTCACTATAAAATTCTGCAGTCCACACCTCTTCTGCCTCTCATTGCCCATCCCCACTTCCTAGTCTCCATCACGCACACAATCTATGTGGCAAAGCGTGGGCTCTCCTTGGAAGTGGAAGAAGGAGAAACTGACCTGGGTCAAGCTCACACTCTCTGTAGTGGCCTGGGGCAGTGGGGAGAGCGTTGGCAGTGCTTTAGCATTCATAATCCTCATCCTATTTCATATGCATAGAAAACATCTGGAAGGATGTGCACGACGTAAAAATGTTAACGGTAGTTATTTCTGGCGATCAGATTAGAGTAGATTTTAATTTTCTTCCTTTTGCTTATCTGTGTTTTCTAATTTCCGACCATGAACAGACATTCCTCGATGAATATTTTTAGAATTTTTATTGAAGTATATCTTGATTAATTTATAAAAACAGCTTTTTGAAAAAAATGAGTTTCTCAGAGCTTTTCAAGAATAGGAAGTCAGAGAAGCAAGTATGGTCCATTCCAAGTTAAAGAGGTTTAAAAATACATTCTGTGTCCCAGATACGGTCCCAACCCAAGCCAACTGTCAGCCAACACTGGGAGATTTGTCTTTGTTCCTGTCTCCCCTCTTTTGTCAAATAAAAGCAAAAGGCATTTTCAGAAATATGCCAGTGAGGGAGAAGGGTTTAGGGCAAGTTCAGCCAGTAGATGTGATATCTCATATCTGAAAATGGACACAACTGCAGAGCTCCGAGAGACTGAGTGAGGAAACCCACGTGGAAAAGCCAGCACAGAGCTGGCACACCACAGGTCCTCGAGTCAATTTGAGCACCTACTATATTTGTTCGCTAAACAGACAATTACAGCTTCACCTCTGGGGAAGGTCCCGGATTGGGGGCTGTGAATACAATGATTATAAGACACTGACCCAACCCTGAAGGAGTTCCCAGTCTATGGAAGGAGACAGATAACAGCAACAATAATAATTGCAGCTAACATTTATTAAACAAATGCTGATGTGCCAGATACTGTGGCACATATATAATATAAATGCTTTGTATTTATACATTGATGCTTTTCATCCTTATAGTAATCTATAAGGTAGATTATCTCAATAAGTATTTTATCTTCTTTTCTGGTCACAGAAATTTGTTTGACTCTGTCAGAGCCCACAACTATAGTATGGTAATGGATCTGTATATATATATATATATATATATATATATATATATATATATATATATATATATATATATATACACAGTGGGTAAGAGCTTAGGTGACGGAATCAAACTGTCTGTGTTCAAATCTCAGTCCTGCTAATTATGGGGAACACATTTGTCTTTCAATGCCTTAATTTCCTCTTCTGTAAAGTGGGAATATTCATAGTTGTTACTTCATAAGTTCTTATAAGGACAAAAAGAGCCGATATGTTTAAAGTACTTAAAACAGTGCCTGGCATGTAAGCTGTTAATAAATATTAGCTGCTATTATTGGTATTGTTATTATTTGTTTCCTGCCATTGACTGGGAGCTCCTTGAGGGCTGGGTCACTATCTTATTAAGTATTGTATCCATCACCCCCAACCCAGGGTCTAGTACAGGGTTGAAACCAATAATTGTCTGTTAAGCAAAAGGACAAACTTATCACTACTCAATATGTTTTAGTGGGGGAGGGAGGTGCAGGGATGTTTCTCTTCATGAGTAGATGTCAGATTCCCCCAAAGATGATGATAATAGGAGGAGTATGGCATCTCCTAGAGCAAGTAGAGTCCAAGAAACATAAATGTCAGACCATAGTTCAACTCTCCCATTTTACAGATGAGGAGCCTGAGGCTTAGGGGGTTCCTGCAACTTCTTATTGTCATGCAACTCATTAGCATTGGAAGAAATGTGTTAGGGAAAGTGGGCCTTTTACCTTAACCTCAACTTCCACCTCAAGGGTGTTATAAATAAAGTTACGGTGCTGCAAAAGAAATAGCACTTGAATGTAAAATTTTCTTTTCAATTCTCAGCAAGGCAAGTTACTTCTATAGAAGGGTGCACCCTTATAGATGGAGCAATGGTGAGCGCACACTTGGATAAGGGAGGGGAAGGGGTTCTCACCCCTGACGCATGTGGCCTCTGCTGCTGTATCGTTCCCCTATTGGCTAAGGTTAGACTGCACAGGCTAAACTAATTCCGATTGGCTGATTTAAAGAGAGTGACGGGGTGAGTGGTTTGGGGGGGTGGAAATGGTTATGACAGAGCAGGTAATTGGAATGAGTCAGGGTAGAGTAGGTAATCAGAATGAGTCAGGGTGGAGCAGGTAATCGGAATGAGTCAGGGTGGAGCAGGTAATTGGAATGAGTCAGGGTGAACCAGGTAATCGAAAAAGGTTTCTTTACAAGGAAGTTAAGTTTAAAAGTAGAAGGCAAAGAATTGAGCATACTGACATACTGATTCTTTGAAAAGAAATTTAGAACTTCTATCTATCTAACAAGGGGAAGTGGACAGAATTTATTTCAGTTTAAGTTCACAAAGCTTGATTGAATGCCAAGTGCCTGTGCTAGGCTCCTGAGAAACAGAGGTGAAATGGGTTCAGGGAGTATCCAGTCTTGGGGAAGTCATACTTTAAGTAAGCAAATCCAAGTGTGATGAGAGGAAGCCAGGTATAATGAGAGCTAGTCTTGTTTCTATCTGTAGCTATCGAGAGATGATTGGTGGCCGCATCAAGCCTGTGGAGAGTATACTTGGACCTTCCAATTAAAGGGAACTCCCCATGCAGAATGGAAACCCTGTGGGGGAAGCAGAGGCTGATCTTCATTTGGGGATCATGGGGTAGGTGGCAGTGGGAGCCTGGAGAAAAAGTCTCCACCTTCCCAGCAAAGGTAGCACTTATGTATGTGTGTATATATATAACATATATATGTGTGGTGGCCTAGCACTCCCCTACCAACCTTACTCGGAGAACTCACCCACCCCCAGTACTACCCCACCCCAGGGCTCTTGGGGCAGTGGGAATAGGGAGATGTTGCTAAGGAGTATGCTTTTGCCCTAAGGCACAACTATAAATTCATGTGATAATAGATCTACCAATATGTCTGGAAATGCACAGCACAGCTCAGGGGTGGGGAAATTGTACCTCAGCTCACCCCTGTGCTGTTAATCTCCCACCTGGGAGCAGTTGAGCATTAAGCCTCCGTTATGTATCAGGGAGACTCTGGATGTAGGGAGGAAGGGCCTTGTGTGGCTAGCAACCAGCATGAACAGGACATTTACATGAGAGGCAGTGCCGTGCTGCAGGATGTGCATGGGTCAGGAGCTGGGAGCAGGAGGCTCTGCCATTGCCTGCTTCTGCATAACTTTAGATAAGTCACCTCCCCATATGTAAAATGGGGCTTGAGTTTAATGATCTCCTAAAGTCCCTTCAGGCTCTGAAATTCAGTTCTGAATGTTCTATGCATTGTGAAGAACGTAACTTTCAAGGGTTGCATTCGTGTTCTAGAAGGTATCGCCAGGCAAAACCACATCTCAACAGGCAGATCTGCTGGCTTTCAGGGAGCACATTTCCCACTCAGCGACCTTAAGCTTTTTCTCTTAAGAGCTTCTAAGAGCAGAAGAGCCCCAATATGTCCCCCAGCCCAGGAGTTTGGGGGGCATGCACCCAGGCATGAAATGTCTTTGAGTTCTTGTTTATGATCGCAAAGGTAACTTTACATTCTACTCCAGAATCTGTCCTTGCTCTTATTAGTATAAAAATATTACAATATTTTAAATTACTTACTGTAGATGTTTGTTGATAAATCTAGACTTAGAGGCTGATAGAAAACCTCACTTTTCATCTTGAACTTTAGCCAAGTCCTAACTCTAGGAGATAAGATGACAAGAAACGTGTAATTTTTTTGTGCTTTCTATATTTTCACTTTCTTTGCTAATGAGCATGTATTAATTTAATGCTAAAAAGGTAAATATACTTTTTAAAATGAAGTATAATGCAGTTATGACCTTCATGTGTAATATTTAAGGAGGGAAGGACTCCCCATTTTGGGTGAATTCCCTCATTTACTTGCTGTGCTTATTTTATATATCAAGGTGCTTTATACATAGTAATTACATGGAAATATGTGTGGTTGAATGAATAAAGTAATAGTGATGATTATGATGATGACAGCAACTAGTATTGTTTTTACCATGTGCTACTATTCTAAAATCTTTAGATGTACCTTTATTTAATCCTTATAAAAGCCTTTGAGGCAGTATTATCCTCATTTTACAGATGAGGAAACTGAAATACCAGAAAGTTAAAGTAACTCTCCTGGTTGGAATGTTTTGAACACCCTGTCTTTTATCTTCTCTGTGCACCTTTATGGGGTCTAGCTATTGCTGTGGCATCCGCCACAAGGCAGCAGCCTCCCCATATTGCCTTGGCAGTCCCTATCTCTTCCCTTCTGTGTTCTTGCACCTTGAGATTCATGCACGTCCAGACTGGTGGAATAAACTCCTACAGGCATCCCCACCTAATGATGGCACAGAAGCCTCAGAGCAAGAAAGCAGACACTTACGAAGCAAGCATTCATTAGCAGGCAAGCACGAGACCGTCCATGCAGCCTGTTCTGGAAGCTTATGAAGTTCCAGCTGTCTGCCCACCCTGGTACTGAAGCTGCTCGCTGGAATGAAAGGTTCAGTGAAGAAAGGCAGGAGAACGTTCTAGATCAGTAGATTTCAAATTTGAACAGGCATCGGAATCTCCTGGCGGGCTTATTAAAGCACAGATGGCTGGGCCTCACCCCCAGAGCTTCTGATTGCGTACCACGCTTTAAGAGCTGTGATCTAGAAGCAGGATTTTGTTATTCTGTCTGATAAGTAGCATCAGGCAATCAGCACTTCCTTAACCAAAGGCTGGACACAGGACCATTTAGGGAGTGAATCTAGAATGCTACCCCTCCAGGTGTAGATTACAAGACATTCCAGGGTCTTATACCCTAAGGCATAGGGGTGGGGAATGTCTCTAAAAGATTTTAGAAAGTACCGTTAATGTCATCGGTGAAAGCCATTTCTCGAGTCTGTTACACTAACAGGCAGAGCCTGCAGCATTGGTCAATCTATGGGCAACTGAAGTGCACACCGATAGCCAGAGTGTGGCCTTCCTGATAGAGTGCTGGCTGAGTACCCCAGTAGTGTGAATTCCTAGATAGGGCACGTAGGATATAATTTAAATTAGCACAGATGCATCCTAGCACCTGTCCAAGTGAATGTTTTAGAGTAAATTACAGAGCACCTTCACGGGAAGGAAAGTAAACACATCAATGGGCTTTGTTTCCTCCCACAGACTGAGCCTGAAATCATAGAGGAAACCAACATTGACAGAGTTCCTGAGCCCCGGGGCTATTCCAGGTCTCGACAGGTGAAAGGCCACTCGGAGACCTCCACACTGAGCTCCCAGCCATCCATCGACGAGGTCAGGCAGCAGATGCACATGCTGCTGGAGGAGGCCTTCAGCCTGGCATCCGCGGGCCACGCAGGCCAGAGCCGGCACCAAGAGGCCTACGGCTCAGCCCAGCACCTGCCCTATTCGGAGGTGGTGACCAGCGCTCCGGGGACCATGACGCGGCCCAGGGCCGGGGTGCAGTGGGTGCCGACCTACCGCCCAGAAATGTATCAGTACAGTCTGCCCCGGCCGGTAAGTCATTCATTCCACCCACCTGCCATCATCTGGTCAGTCTGCCCAGTGAGTTCCAACAGGAGACTCAGAGCAGGGGCTTCTACAGATAAAAAGCTTTGGGATCTGGAGATGAACTATGCCAGGCCCTCATCCCATCATCCCATCTTCCACCCATGATCCAAAGCCTAAGCTTTTTGACTCCTGTGGACAATGCACGTGAGAATCCCTTCTTTCCAGCCATAATGTATTTTAGAATGAATTGCCTTTTCTACTATCCCTTCTATAAATGGCTGACCATATTCTTCACGCACTGGTGGTTTCCTACACTTTCAAGCCTGAGACCCATTTTAAATATCAAAAGGCATCTCAGAGCCACATGCTAAGGGGTTGTGTGGCCTGGTGGTTTAAGCGCACAGGCTTTGAGCCAGATGGCTCGAATTTAAATCTCAGGTCTACCAGATGAAAGTTGACAGAATCAGAATGGAATCACTTGTGTTAAATAAAATTAAATGAAAAATTTTGAAAACCTGGCAAATAGAGCCAAGGAAGGCCAGGGAGAGTTTCATGCATAAATCCATGATAGCAAGAACTATCATAAAAGACTCTGCAAAAATCACAATCTTGCACAAAGGCCATTGCAACCTTACACACACACAAAATACTTGTGCGAGGACATCTGTCCAGCAACTGCCTGTCCAGGCTTGGACTGGTACCACACTCGTCATTGATTTTTGCAGCCAAGAATAATTATTTCAAAACAATTATGCAATCCTCCCTCTTTTTCCTTTAAAAACTTGTGTCTTCCTTTGCCTCCCTGAACACAGTTTACTATGGCATGGGTATTCCCATTGCAATAACCATTCCCAAATAAACATCATTATTTTTAGAGACCAAAAAAAAAAAAATCTGTTATTTAGGTTGACAGCCACTTCCTGGCTTTGTAACTTGGGGAAATTGTTTAAATTCTTTACAAATAAGAAAAATAAGCTACGTCCTAGACTTGTAAAGATTAAATGAGTTGGTGTATGTAAGGTACTATAAGAATGCTTGGTACGTAGGAAATGCTATAAAAATATTAATCATGGGTTGGACATGGTGGCTCACACCTATAATCCCAGCACTTTGGGAGGCCAAGATGGGCCGATCACTTGAGCTCAAGAGTTCGAGACCAGTCTGGGCAACGTGGTGAAACCCCATCTAAACAAAAATTAGCCAGGTGTGGCGGCATGCGCCTATAGTCCCAACTTTTTGGGAGGCTGAGGTGGGAGGATTGCTTGAGCCCAGGAGGCAGAAGTTGCAGTGAGCCAAGACTGTGAGACTGTACTTCAGCCTGGCTGACACAGTAAGACTCTGTCTCAAAAAAAAAAAAAAAAAAAAAAGAATATTCATTGTGATTATTTATTAAGTAGCAATTACATTTCCATATTTGAAAAAGCATCCAATGACTGAAAGCTTCTGTAATTTACACTTGATCTTTGTATCACAAAAACCGAGAAGTTATAAGTTTTTGTGACTTAAATCACAATTTTAATTAGTTTGCATTTCATTCATCACCATAGCATCTAAAATATATATTTTTAAAAAGACATAGTTTTATAAACCATAGACTGTAATAGACAATGCCTTGTGCATGTATAGATGCCAGATTCTAGGAATCTGGGATGAGTTCTGGGTTTCAGAGAGAAAGGCCTAGACAGCCAGATCAAGTCTTCCAACAGGTAAGAAGATGCGATGGCCCATAGCCATCGTATCTCAATTTTGTAAAACCATCTAAAAAAAAAAAATCCATTGTGGGTCATATGATGAAAACTTAAATGGTTCTGCTTATTATAATTGGGGCTTAGTGTTTGTGGCAAGAAGGACAAAAACATCAGCATTATATATATATTATAAATGAAGCCACCTACAGTGGAAAAGGACTGTGAAATAACACAACAGAGAGATGGGTCATCAAACCAGAACTAACCTTTTCTTTTCTTTTCTTTTCTGAGACTGAGTCTCACTCTGTCACCCAGGCTGGAGTGCAAGTGCAGTGGCGCAATCTTGGCTCACTGCAACCTCTGCCTCCCAGGTTCAAGCAATTCTCGTGCCTCAGCCTCCCGAGTAGCTGGGACTACAGGCGCATACCACCACACCCAGCTTTTTTTTTGTATTTTTAGTAGAGAGGGGGTTTCACCACGTTGGCCAGGCTGGTCTCAAACTCCTGACCTCAGGTGATCCACCCACCTCGGCCTCCCAAAGTGCTGGGATTACAGGCGTGAGCCATCATGGCTGGCCGAATCAGAACATTATTAAACGCAGTCTTTTGTTATTAAGGTTTCCTTCTTTATCAACAACCTGTGAGGTCCGTATTTTCAGGAAAGGAGAAAATAGCTAACAATACAGAGTAGAAATGATGATGATTCTTAACCCAAGCTCATGCAGAGTCCTTTTGTGCTTTGATAATGTGGAAATCCATAGAAAAGGTGGCAATTTAGAATGATAACTATGATTACTTTCTGTCTTCTAAAGAGGAGGTGCTTTGAGCTCTGCCAGAAGATAATTGGAAGCTGGTGGTTTAAATACACTAGGCCAGGCTAATGGCATTTATACCATGGAAAAGGTTACTGCTGGTGGCCTGGGATTTCTGCACTGCAGTTCAGGAGACTCTTGATCATATTTTACCCGTTAACTCTGTGAAGAAATTGGACTCCACATCTAATGTCCAATCCAATTTTGCTAGCAGTCATAATGGATCTATGCCAAGCAGAATTAAAACATCCTACAGCCTTCCTGTTGTTGGGAGACAAGAAGGGGATTTCAAAAAAGACAACAGGGCTAACACATCTTCCCCACTAGACTCTTTACAGATGGAATTAATGGTAATAAAAATAACAGCAACAGTTGGCATCTGTTGAGCTCCCATTGTCTACTGGACACAGCTAAGTGCTATGTAGAAATTATCTCTTCTAATCCGACAACCACCCTTTGAGATCAATATTATTATCCCAAAGTACTCAGTGAGGAAACTGAAGCTTGGAGAAGTAAAGAAACTTGCCCAAGTTTATGCAGCAGTAAATGGCAGAACTGGAGTTAGAACCTAGAGCTGCCTAACTTCAAATCCCACGCTCTTTCTACCCGCTGGGTGACTTATAGGGACATCTTCCAGGCTCTGATGAGAACTTGAATATCCAAACTTTGGAATATAATCTTCTTATAAGGAAGCTTACCCAAGGCTGGGCTTTGTGGCTCATGCCTGTAACCCCAGCACTTTGGGAGGCTCGCTTGAGACCAGGAATGTAAGACAAGCCCTGAGCAATATAATGAGATCCTGTCTCTACGGGGGAAAAAAAAAAAAAAAAAAAAAATTGGCTGGGCCTGTAGTCCTAGCTACTTGGGAGGCTGAGTTGGGAGATCTCTTGAGTCCAGAAGTTCAAGGTTGCAGTGAGCTATGATGACACCATTGTACTCCAGCCTGGGTAATAGAGCAAGACCTTGTCTCTATTGTAAAAAAAAAAAAAAAAAAAAAAGAAGCAGCAGCAGCAGCAGCTTACCCAGTTGGAGTTTTGTCCATTCTTATCATTGCCCTAGTAAGGGAGGCATCTCCATTAGGGTAAAATTGGGAATTTTATGGTCTTTTTTTCCTCCTCTCCTCATAAAAACAAACAACTCCCCCCAAGCCTTTGTTAATGAGGAAATATGCAGATATATCAGCTATGACTTCGATTCTGCCGCAACACTTGGATTCAAGAAGTGTTGCATTTCTGCATCTGTAGTTCCAGCTACTAGGAGGCTGAAGTTGGAGAATTGCTTGAGCCCAGGAGTTCGAGGCTGGCCTGGGCAACACAGCACAATCCCATCTCAAAAAAAAAAAAAAAAGGAAAGAAAGAAAAAAGAAAAAGAAATGTTACATTTCTTGTGTTTCTCCAAATCAATTTGAATCTATTCTGAACTCCCATCTGGCCCAGGGCGTGAGAGATTCAATGCCAGTTATTCTGGGGCTCCTTCCACCTCTGGTTATACAAAAGTTATTAGTGGTTTGATGAAGTGAGGTCCTCACCCGGAAGGAGAGGACCTGCACCAGTCACTGTTGACAGAGCATGGTCCAGCTCGCAGGAGTCCTTGAAGGCAGGCCATTCTATCATAGCTGGACCAGATATGATTCTATCTATCTGGGCCAGATTGGGAATGGGGCTCTCTGCCTTGGAACGGCCCCAAGAAATCCTTCCCTGTAAGTCACCTACCTCTGGTAAATAAGTACCCTTATAAGCTTAGAAAAATCCTTATAATGAGTAAAATCCACAGTTGGTACAGCAAGGCTGTGTGAGAAGGGAGAGAGGGAAGGTGGGAGAGGAAGGCTGGAGAATCCTTATCTCAGCCCACAAACTCAGATGGGCAAGAAAAGTAACTTTATTTTTCTGTGATCTTCTCTGCGTGCCAGAAGCTCAGTCTCAGTTCAGGCTCTTCCTCCGTATTTTATGGGGACCTACATGATGTTGGGTAGGGGGAAGGCTGCAGTATCTGGTCCCTGTTTGTCCTCATCTCACCATTCCAGCTGGTGTCCCTGAGAAGCCCTTGTTCCCACCTTTTCTCGGGTTGCCCGTCCAGGCAGAGCATAGCCGTATCCTCTTTCTCCTACTCAACACGCCGTCACCAGATTCTTCCCTTCCTTCCTTCCATGCTTGTGTGTGTTCAGGTGAGCTCACTCTGTCCCTTGCTCTGTCATTCTCTTGCTCAAGCACACGTGCACACACACGCACCTGCCCCTCTCCGGTGGCTTCTTTGCCACCACACAGGACTGTTAAAGGCACTTCTGGTCTACTTCCATACCACCATACTCTTCTTTTCCTGCACCCCGTGGAAGGAGGGGGAATTTTGTGCTGTTGCTGATTCCTGGCCTTTCCTAGAGGCAGACACAGGTTCCTTGTCTTTCAGATTCCCCAAATTTTGATGAGACTTATGTCCTCTCCTCCACTTCTTCCCCCAGGGTGAGACAGGACAGAAGGCCCCTTTTCCAGGCCCACTGGCATCTAACCTCTTGCTTCCTCTCTGGCTCTCCTCTCCTTCCTATCCACAGAGTGTAAATGTACCTCGCTTCTTTGAAATCTCTTGTTTATGGCATCAAACTGAGTATTTTAGGACTTAGATATTCAAAATCCTAGGTTCTTGCAATTTAGTAGCTTTCGCTTATGAAACTCTGATAAGAATAGTCAGGCGGATCACAAGGTCAGGAGTGCAAGACCAGCCTGGCCAACATGGTGAGACCCCATCTCTACTAAAAATAGAAAAATTAGCCAGGCATGGTGGTGGATGCCTGTCATCCCAGCTACTCGGGAGGCTGAGGCAGGAGAATTGCTTGAACCTGGGAGGCAGAGGTTGCAGTGAGCCGAGATCACGCCATTGCACTCCAGCCTGTGCAAAAGAGCAAGACTCTGTCTCAAAAAAGAAAAAAAAAAAAAAGAATTGGCTCTTGTGCCCTCCTCAGTCTTTTGTGCCTCCTTCTTCCCTGGGACAGGGAAAGGGCCCTAGATTCGAAGAACTATGGAGGAAAAATGACTACGATTACTGCTGAGCATCCCAAATTCTTTGGGACCCCTTTACCAGTCCCTCCAACCACAGGCTGTCCCCTGCAGCCTGTTACCCCTGTAGTGCCACCCTGGAGGTTTATCTTCACCAGATCCCTCCTCCTGGGTAAATGCACATGCACAGAAGAGACCAGCATGCACTGGGGCTCGTCAGAGCTCCCTCTCCACTGGGAATGCTAGAGAGTATGGCACTGACCCACTTCCCTCATTCCCTCCCGAGGGACACTCAGCACTGAAACTTCAAACAGACTGTGGTCCCCTCCCCCTCCCATTCCCCTCCCCTCCCCTCCCCCCCTTTCTCCTCCCCTCCCCCCCTTCCCCTCCCCTCCCCTCCCCCTCCCTCCCTCCCTTCCTTCCTTCGTTCCCTCCTTCCTTCCATGTTACAACCAAACTTCTGAGCTCAGAGAGTGCTCTCTTCTGGTCACACACAGCCTCCTTCAGCCTCAGAGACCTGCAATCTGACTGCCTTCAGTCCTGAGTCTTTTATCTCCTTCCTGGCCAGAGGGCAGGGACCCCAAAAGACGGGGTCCTTAGGTTTTCCTCACAGCCAGCATCGTGGCACTGGGAACTTGGAACCTGGCAACAGTTTCGTGCAATAGCTTCCAATGGATTCCTGTCACAGAGCAGCCAGGAGAGAGCCAGATTCCAAATACATGAGGCAGGAAACTAGAAGGCAAAGACAAGAGGACTTAGAACCAGGGGGAACATGCACAGGAGTGGGTAGAAGACACCCTGGGGGAGGATTCCTTCAACCACGAGCACGTGGCACAGGCTGCCCCCTCTGTGTTTTGTGTGGCTCGCTGTCCTGGGGCCCCGAGGATACAGCCCAAAAGGGTCTGCCTGATCTCCTGTGCCATCTTGCTTTGTACCTGGCAAAATCTTCAAGAAGGGAATTCCCTTGCTGCTTGTCAGAAGTTCAGAATTTTTCATCAGTTCTCTTGGTGAACTGCTATAGGACATCCACAGACATAGAAAGCCTTTTCTTGGCTGGGAAACTCTGCTGACTACAGAATAAGCCTTCCAACAACCTGAGATAAAAATAGGTTGTCTGTCTCCTCCGCTGAATAGCATGAGAGGCCAGAAGAGAGAAGAGGGGCTGTAAATCTCCTTTGTCTATTTTGGGAAAGAAGTGCCTCACTTGGTTTATTGATAGTCATGGAGGGTAAAGCTGGAAGGACCTCCAGGACAAGGATTTGCTAACTGTCTGCAGAACCTCAGGGTTCAGGGAGGTCCTCAGGGGGTCATTAGACAGATAAGTGAAGGGCCAAATTCACCAGGGCACCTCCTCCCCAACTTCAACCAGAGAAGCCCTGCTTTCGTCTGTCTATGTATTAGGGTCTGCTGGAATGGTGTCATGGCTAAAGAAACGTTTGGAAGCTTGTGAGATAGGCCAGTGCCTTATTTCACAAGGAAAGCAAAACAAAACAAAACCAAAACAAGGTTCAGAAAGGCTGAATGACATATCCAGAGAAAGTGAATGGCTGAATCAAGATAACAGCCTGAGTTGCCTTACTCCTTGTTCACTCAGCATTCATTCAGAAAATAGTTACGTAACATGGCTAGGGGCAAGATATTTTGCTTGGTGATGGGGGACTACTGTAATAAGACAGACCTGGTTACTGCACTCCAAGGCATTTAGGATGTAGTGGAGCTGAAGATTTGGTTCCCTGAATGCTGTCTTAGCATACATTGTTTACTGATGCTCAAAAAAAATTGGAAGTACAGCACAGCAACGTAGCTTTCCAAATTGATTCAGTCAGTACTTCTGGATCTGGGCAGATGTTTTCTTTCATTCTTGTTCTAGAAAGATAGTATTGCTGACACACTTCTAGGTTGACTCCTCTCTGAGCACTTTGCATTCCATGTCTTCTGGGTGCTAACGAGAAGCCATTTGTTAGTGTCATTGCCATCCCTTTGTAGGTGATAGGCCTTTTGGGCTGCTTTTAAGATCTCTTTGCCTTTGGTATTGTTTCACTACAGTGTATCTAGATGTGTGTTTTACTTTATTGATCCTACTTGGGATTATTAATTTACTTATTTTATCAATTCTGGAAAATTCTTAGCCATTGCTTCTTCAAATACTGCCTTGTCTTTGTTTTCCTTCTTCTCTCCTTTGGGACTTCGGTTAGCTGCATGTTAGACCTGCTCATTCCATCCTCTGTGTCTTGTATTTCTCTTTTATATTTTCTATCTTCTCGGCCCATTGTGCATCATTCTTAGTAATTTCCCCAATTCCATTTTCTAGTTTATTAATTCTCTATTTGTGATTAATCTATTATTTACTTCCTCTACACTGAATGTTTTTATTTTAATAATCATGTTTCACTTCTGAAAGTTCTATTCTTTTTCAAATCTGCTGGATCATTTCTAATAGTATCTGTCTGGTCAATTATTATTATTATTATTTTTAGACGGAGTCTTGCTCTGTCATCCAGGCTGGAGTGCAGTGGCGTGATCTCGGCCCACTGCAACCCCCAACTTCTGGATTCAAGCAATTCTCCTGCCTCAGCCTCCCGAGTAGCTGGGATTACAGGTGCGTGCCACCACGCCCAGCTAATTTTTTGTATTTTTAGTAGAGACGGGGTTTCACCATGTTAGCCAGGATGGTTTCGATCTTCTGACATCGTGATCTGCCCGCCTCAGCCTCCCAAAGTGCTGGGATTACAGGCGTGAGCCACCACACCCAGCCTGGTCAACTATTTCTTAAAAACATTTTTTACGTTGTTATTTTTTGTCTTGTGTCTGGAAGTTCCAAACTCTAAAGTCCTTAAAGGTCTGAATCTTGTTTGTTTTTTCTACTCTTTTTAACTTCACTTTTCTGGTGTGTTCATGGTCTTAGATCATGAGCTCCACTTGCTTCATCTTAATCGGTGCTAATCCTGAGAGACTGCTTTAGGGATACTTTTCTCCAACAAGGATTTACAATTGCTTCTGCCTGAGCTGGGATCATTGCCATCCATCCTCCCTCCCTAGAAGGGACCAATGCTAGCCTCCTTTTGTGTTGGAGGTGAGTGCCTCAGGTTCAGCCACCTCACCTCGTTCTGTTCCAAGGCTTGATCTCTTCATCAACTGTCAATATGGCGTTTGTTTTCCAGGCCACTTCGCCATTCGTATTTGCTTACCTTCAGTATTTTCACCTCTGGTTTCAGCTCATGGTTTTGTTTTAGTTTGCTGAGGTGTGGGGTAGGGGAATAGTCCCTTGGGATTTCCCTGACATCTTGCAGTTTCACACTGCATTAAAAAGTAGGTTTAATCCTGGACCTCGTCGTTATTGAGTGGGTTGGCCCTTATGAAGATGTAGTCTGCCATCATGCTGGAGGGAGAAGACTTCATTATTCAGTTGAAAGAATCCTGTTTGTGGATCCCCTGTGCTGCTGTTTTTTGTCCTGATGCCTTCAGGTTTAAAATCCTGTCATCCTCCTCCTTGAGAGATCTGATGGGCAGAATACCTGAAGAAAGAAACGGATGAGAACCGCAAGTGAAGCTTTGTCTTCACAGAGAGCATTTCTAGATTTTCTCTTGCTAAAGGAGGTTGTGGCCTGGCTCTTTCTAATCCTGTCTGTCTCTGTCTGTTTTGCTTTTATCCCCTCACATGTTGATAAAAGTCTTCACTTTTCTGGTGACAGTTCTAGTCTTTTATCTTTGAATAGTGCTTTATAGATTGCAAAAGACATACACACACACACACACAGACTTACCTGATCTTCTCAGCAGCCCTCTGAGCAAGCATTGTTGTCCCCATTTCAGAAGAGGTCCAGAAAGGTCACCTGAGTTGCTGAAGGACCTAAAGTTTGCTCATCAGGACCTTCACACATACGTCCTCACTCCAAATCCATTGCTTTTCTCCACTAAACCTGCTCTCCCTTGAGAGAAAGTAAAACACAATCAATGATTCATCCATTTAATCATCTAATATTTATTGATAACCTGTTATATACCAGGCACTGTTCCAGGTATAAGGATATCTCTGACAACAAAGCCCTTGCCCTTATTACACTCTAGTTGGTGGCAGATCGTAAATAAACAAGCAACCATATAAAGTCAGAGAGTGATCGTTGCCATGATGAAAAATAGATAAATGGGGCTCTAGGGGAGTCTGGGGCTGGATGAATGAAATGAAGCGTGAAGCCCTGGGAAGAATGGTGAGGAAAGCACCCAGGTGGAAGAAAAGCCCAAGGTGAGACAGAACTTGGCGTGTTCTGAGAATGGTTGGAGGGCCCTGTAAGTACAGTGGCCCCAGCGAGAGTGGTGGGAGGTGCAGTAGAAGAGATGGCTGGAAACATGTGAGGGAAGATCTTAGAAAAAAGTCTGAGTAAGGAGGCAGAGTCTGACCCTTGGAAGTTTGCTTCCTCCTCAAACAAGAGGAACCTGTGTGCTGATCGACCCTGGGTGTTAACAACTCTCCCTGTATTGCTTGTCTCTTTCACAGGCTTACAGGTTTTCCCAGCTTCCTGAGATGGTCATGGGCTCACCGCCTCCACCCGTACCTCCCCGGACTGGTCCTGTGGCTGTCGCTTCTCTCAGGCGGTAACACGTTCCTTTCTTTGTTTTGTTTGGAATATTTGGAAAAGGGTCAGTCCTATGTACCCTGACCTGACAACAGCACCGGCAAATTTCCTTCATGCTCCACCCCATCCAGGGTGTGTCACCTGTACAGACAACCATGCGCCTGTGGCATCCCAAGTACCATGAATGAACAGATCACGGTGCTTTTGTGCTTTTTAACCAGAAAGTTCTTGAGAATCCACAGTTGAAGAAGCCCAAGGTCAACTGCCCCATACCTGGAAAGCCTCAGACCGTGACCTTGAACATCTAAAAATGACTCCAGCTCAGGCTACCACAACAGCTGCTACCAAAAGTCCCTTGGTTATTTAAGGGTGGTGTCTGAGAAGCCAGGGAGGGGCAGGCATGTCTGGGCATCCACCCCAACTCTTGACTTCCAAGAGGGAGAGATTGAAAATGTATGAAGTCAGATATCTCAATTGCAACACATATGTTAAGCATGTTCTTTGCTTTAGGAAAATCTAACGAGGGCATGTTTTTAATAAGGATGGACAAGAAGAACAAAAGCCCTGAGCACTGGGAAAGGCTAGAACTGTGCCCTGGGGTACATGTGGACCACTGCCCTGGCCTTCCTACTCCAGCTTCCCCCAACATACAAATCACATCCTATCTGTGAACCATGGGTCTGGGCTTTGTGAATGGGGAAGAAAAATAGGAGTTTCCCTCGGAATAGGAGGGACCCCGCTCTCATTGCCAGTGGTTTAGAATGCGGAGGGGCGTAGACGTCACTTCTTGCCACCAGCCGAGCCTGGGTGGAAAGCAGCAGACCCTGACCTGCTGTGCAGCCCCAGCAGTTGGCCTTGCCCCTCCAGCCCCTGTTTCTCTATCTGTAACATGAGCACAGGGGCCTAGATGATCTCAAAAGCTCCAGGGTTCCCCAGAAAGGGGTCTCAGAATTGCTTATCGAGCATAACTCAGAAATTTTCCCAGGAAGGGTTTTCTGAACAAGTAGCAGATGCCTGGAACAGTGTGTGGGAAGCCAGGGCTGTGGGAACAAGCAAGCAGAGAGGGAGGAAGGGAGACCCCACCCTGATGAACGGTCACATCATACAGCCTCCACATTGGACCTTCCTAGGAGAGTAGCAACGGGCTTCTTGGTTACTCCTGAGAGTCCTGGATTGGAGGGGCCTCATACCAGCAATTTGTGGGAGGTTTGCTGAAGGCCAGCATCAATTTCTTATTTCTTCTTTCAACCACCTGTCTCCTCCCAGGCCCCTCCACGCCATTTGCTATCTTGCCACATATCGGGGGTGGGGGGTGCACTGCCCTTCATATAAACTCAGGATTAGACCAGGAAGGAACCTTTGAGATGAGTTTGTCTACCCCTGTCATTGTATAGATGAGGAAACAGGCTTGGAAAGGGAACGTAGGCTGGGCATGGTGGCTCATGCCTGTAATCCCAGCACTTTGGGAGGCTGAGGCGGGTGGATCATTTGAGGCCAGGAGTTTGAGACCAGCCTGGACAATATGGTGAAACCCCGTCTACACTAAAAATACAAAAATTAGGTGGGCGTACTGGCATGCACCTATAATCCCGGCTACTTGGGAGGCTAAGGTGGGAGAATCGCTTGAACCCAGGAGGCAGAGGTTGCAGTGAGCCGAGGTGGTGCCACTGCACTCCAGCCTGGGTGACAGAGTGAGACCTTGTCTCAAAACAAAAAAATAAAAATAATGAAAGGGAAGGTAGCTGGAACCCAGACCTCTGCCTCCCATGTTCTCCCTTGCCGTGGCTGTCATTTGCTCTGTGACAGCCACTGCTTAGCTCAGAGGGTGGCCCTGTGGGGGGCCAGGCCTGCTGCAGCTGTCTTTGCCTCTCTCCCATTGGGCTAATTTTAGGGGAGCCTGAAGTCCCTCTGTGAAACTGCCTCAGGCAAGGGTTGATGCTTGTGAAGGAAAATGGTCTGTGGCTGAAGGACCCTTTGGAAAAACCAGGAGATGCCCACGTCTACAGAGCCTAGGCTGCCCTCTTCTTACACGGCTTTCTGAGCACTAAGTGGAAATAGGATGTGTTAAATGGGCTTGATTCTCTGATTGCCCGGGGAACAAAAAAAAGTTCTGTTAGAATGTCCACTGCTCCCTGGAGCAGCCCGAGCTTCCAAGTCTTGGGCTTGGTGCTTCCTGCCAGTTAGGAATAGGGAATGTGGCTCCCCAGCTGTCCCGGGTCCCCTTTCTGGTGTCGGTGAGAAGGGAGCAACCAGGCACTCCAGAGAGAGCCTTCCCACTGGCTGCTGATGATGTCATCACCCCCTGGGTCGACCATCCCCAGCTAATACCCAAGGCTAATTGCTTTTCTTATTTTATGTGGAAATTAAATGTTCTACCACCCAGAGACATGAGAGCCACCCTTAGGGGAGAACTGACCTTGAACGTCTAAAAATGATTTCAGCTGAGGCCACCATGACAGCTGCTACAAGTCTGGGTGCCTCCTGCCCTGCTGGTGTTCCTAGAAGTCCGTTTGTTATCTGGGAATAAATCCAGTCCTGGGGACCTCATGAGGCTTGGAGGCAGCTGTCCATGCCCAAAGGTGACGGGGCGCACTCCTCCTGCTCGGGACGCCGCCTGAGGTCTGGGACAGTGCTAACGCAGTCCCTCTGCCCCATCTAGATCCACCTCAGACATCGGCAGCAAGACCAGAATGGCCGAGTCTACAGGGCCCGAGCCGGCCCAGCTGCACGACAGCGCCTCCTTCACGCAGATGTCCAGAGGCCCTGTGTCCGTGACGCAGTTGGATCAGTCGGCTTTAAATTACTCAGGTGGGCAAGAGAAAAGCCCGAGTGTGCCCCCCACCACTGCTGCTGTGCCCTGTCCTCCCTCAAATCCCCAGTTCCAATCTCCTTTCTACCTACCACCCTCAGGAATCACAGCCACTGCATTTCTGGATCCCCTCATAACTTCAGGAGCCCCAACTAAAAGAGCTGCTGATTTTCTTTCTTTTAAAGATCTGAAATTGGGCAAAATCCCAAGTTATGCTAAAGTCAGCATGTATGTTAACATTTTGCCAGACTTCAGTTCAATTTTTTTGGTTTTGTCTTTAAAGCATTCCAGATACAGCCATCCACCCCCATTTCATTCCCCTTCTCTCAAAAGGTGATCCCGGGCTTCAGGTGATAGGTTTTAATCCTTTGCCACATATGTATGTTTATATAACAGTATATATTAATGTTTAATGTATTTGAAATTTACATAAATGATATCATGGCATACATTTCCTTTTGTACTTTCTCTATTTAACAGTGTTTTAAAAAATTTCTCCAGGTTGCTATACACATACTATATAGATCTAGTTCATTCATTTAAACTGCCATGTGGTATTCTATGATAAGCCACAGTTTAGACTTTTCCCTATTGATGGACATAATGGTAGTTTCCAGTTTTTTGCTATAACAAACAATGCTGAAATGAACATTGAGGTTTGTACATGACGTAATTGGTTTCTTAGTTTATCCAAACCATACCTTTTAGGCTAAAACTGCAAGCACTCAGTTGCCAGCACTTAGTAAAGCATTCATGGTGTCTAGAAATTCCACCAGTGAAGTCCATTTCTTTTGGTTCTTTTTCTTGGCGCTTTAAAAATACACACTCTCCTGGGAGGAAAACACCTGACCACCAAGGTGTTATTTCCTCTTGCTGGCAGGTCAGGGGTGTTGGGATGGGGATGGGGGAGTTGGACCACCACTTCTGTAGAAAGCCAGGTCTGAGTCCCAGCAGATGATGCCCTTTCATTCTGACTGCGAGGGTGAGTGGGGCTGCATGGCAGGTGGAGGTCTGCTGCTCCCCCAACCCCTGGAGACCTTTGTCCTCTCATCCCCTAGCCACGGCCAATCCCAGAGTCCTCCTCTGCTTCCCTAGATTCCCCAGGCCTGGGCAGATGCAGGCCTAGTGGGCGGGGTGCTGGCTGGGCCCACAACTCCCTCTTTAGGGGATGAGAAAAAGGGAAAATTCCAGAGCACTACTAGTGCATGCTGCATTTGGTGAAGTTGGAAAAAGACTTTCCTTCCCCAGGTGAGTACAGACTCCACCCCTGGCAAAGGGAATACTGTCTGGACTTTAGCCCACTTGGCCTCTAGGCCAGATGCTCTTGAGCAGTGCACCATCTGCCCAGCTGTGCACAGTGGCTCTAGAAGAGGTCCACAAAGAAAGAAGACCAGGTGGCCTGGCGCGGTGGCTCATGTCTGTAATCCCAACACTTTGGGAGGCCGAGGCAGGCGGATCACAAGGTCAGGAGTTCGAGACCACGGTGAAACCCCATCTCTACTAAAAATACAAAAAATTAGCCAGGCACAGTGGCAGGCGCTTGTAGTTCCAGTTACTCAGGAGGCTGACGCAGGAGAGTGGCGTGAACCCAGGAGGAGGAGTTTGCAGTGAGCCAAGATCGCGACACTGCACTCCAGCCTGGGCGACAGAGCGAGACTCCGTCTCAAAAAAAAAAAAGAAAGAAGACCAGGTTTCCTCCATCGCATCCCACCTGCCTCTGTTGCTACATCACCTGGGATCTTAGCCATCATGGCCAGGTCCACTGCACCTTAAATGAAACTAAATTCCCCAGCAAATGTTACAGCCCAGAGCAAGCTCCCCTCAGCTCAGACCTGATTTAATGAGACTTCAAATCCAGCAGCCAGCCAGGGAGCCAATGAAACTGACTTTATTTGGCTCTTGGGTGGCTGGATCCCTCAGACCAGCCTCTCTTAACCTCCCTCCTCCATTTCCTCCATGCCAGGTAATACGGTGCCAGCAGTGTTCGCCATCCCAGCTGCCAACAGACCTGGCTTCACCGGCTACTTCATCCCAACGCCTCCCTCATCCTATAGGAACCAGGCCTGGATGTCCTATGCAGGAGAGAATGAGCTCCCGAGCCAGTGGGCAGATTCGGTGAGACCCTTGCTCTTCACCTCATAAAACTTTACCTGCTTAACACATGCCAAAAAGTAAATTAGATAAAAGGTTGAGACTGAAGGTTTTGTTATCTCAGCCTCCTCACAGTACCCGGATGACTAAAGTCAGCCATTTTAAAGGAGACAGATGGTGTGGTGAGAGGGGATGTCCCCTTGACAGAGGACCTTGAGACCTGCCTTCTAGTCCAGCTCCCACCTCTTCCTAGCAGGACGACCTTAATCAAGTACATTTTTATAATAATAACTACCATTTGTTGAGTATTTTCTATCTACTAGACACCTTGTCAGATGTTTTGTTTATATTATTTAATCTTTATTACAATCTTAGGTAGGTATTATTCCCGTGATTACTCCCATCTTGCAGATGAGGAAATCAGGGCCGAGTCAGGGGATGCCACTTATCTAAGGCCACACAGCTAGGAAGGAAATGCCAAGGACAGAATTCAAACCCACACCTGTTTGGCTCCAAAGCTTTTATTAAATTCGTTTCTTTTAGCATAATAATTCTGTAAAGTTTTAGAAGAAATGTCAGAAAATGAAGGATTAGAAACCCAAGATTGGGCTGGGTGCCGTGGCTTATGCCTGTAATCCCACCACTTTGGGAGGCTGAGGCGGGCAGGTCACCTGACATCAGGAGTGAGAGACCAGCCTGGCAAACATGGTGAAACCCCTTCTCTACTAAAACCACAAAAATTAGCTGGGCGTGATGGTGAGTGCCTGTAATTCTAGCTACTGGGGAAGCTGAAGCAGGAGAATCACTTAAACCCAGGAGGCAGAGGTTGCAGTGAGCCAAGATCGCGCCACTCCACTCCCGCTGGGGCGATAGAGCAAGACTATGTCTCAAAAAAAAAAAAAAAAAAAAAAAAAAAGAAACCCAAGACTGAATTATTACATTTATTAATTTTCCAGATGACCAAGTCTTACCCCTTTAATTTCCAAAACATTTAAAAATATATGCAGCTTGGCATAAAAATATTTCTGAAATGAATGCTATCTTCCCTCTCCTCCGTTAAAAGAGTATACAATGTAATTTGCCTTTTATGAATGATTCAGTATCCTTATGATGCCTCATTATACTAAAATGGCATTTGTAGGATGAACTCTCATGGCTTGTAGGATTATTGACCTTATATTGTGAAATATCTCCAAACTACTATAATTTTTGGAGTTACTATCATGGCCCAGTATATTTTTTTTCTGACTTTGCTTCTAGTGGCCACTCAATATTGCTGTTAATGTCCCCACATCTAGTAATATGCCCACCCTTAAGTGTGCTTTGCATCATGTGCCATTATCTGCAAATGAGGCTTATCTGTGCTCATTAGAATTGTTTGTAAACTTGGAGTAAATAAGCTCTAAGAGAGGAACTAGAGGGATCCCCTGCTGTTCAGTCTGTGAATCTGAATGTGGGACTTTACGGCATCTGTTTGTATTGTTTGGGGGCCTTTTTTGTGTCCTTTGTCATTCTCTGCTATTCCACATGGCTGATACCACTGGATATGATTTGAGCAATTCAGAGGTTATTGATTTTGTAATTCCACTTCATCTGAAAGTTATGCAGACTTTTCAGAAAGTAGATGATGTTTAACTTGAACTACTTAGGCAGTAATTCCCTTACGCCTGCAGCTTTGACACTTCACCTGTTGTGTGGAGTGTAACCCTGGGCACCAACTGGAGTTGGTGAAAGTATTTTCCAAAACCTTGACCCCTGTGTTCAAGACACTTAAAATGATAATTTAGCCAGGCTTATAACTACATCTAGATGCCTTTGGGCTCATAATTGCCTTAAAGATGAAGAGAAAGGAACCAAGCAAATGGAAATGTAACCTTCCTGCCATGATGACTGTACTGGACCCTTCTGGGCTCATCTCCCAGTGTGAAGGAGAACCAATGTCCTATTAGTTGTTTTAAATTAAGAGGAAGATGATTGCTGCAGCCTAATTGGGCCTTTCCTGGAGCCCAACTATCACCTGCAATTAAGCAGGGAGGCGTGCCCATGAAAGGAGCAAGGTGAAACGGGTGATTTATAGCATATGAAAATAAGTGCAGGAGGCTCAGAGAGACCAGTTGTCAGCTTGAAAAGGGTCCAGGAATAATGCACACCTTCCACATCTATGTGAGAAAGCAAAGTCCCTCACCAGCATTTGGATGTCTGACCTTCCTGATCCCAGCAGCTAGCTTGGATAAAATCACCTGGACCTGGGATAACAAATAGGTTTCATCCTTGGTGCCAGATGGAGAAGGATTGGGAGGGGCTTCCAGGCTCAGCAGGAAACTGTGCTGTGATAAAGTTGGTGATGTCTGCCATGGGCACTGGCTAGGGAAGTAGTAGTATTTGCCAGCCCTGAATTTTGGCAGGAAGGGCATGATGGCTCCAGCCTGCATCTACTATAAGGGAGGAAGAGTTTCTCATGTCATCTTCCCTGCTTCTGCCCTGCTGCTGAATATTGCCCTGAGGATACTCCAGTGGGATCAGGTATCCCTTGCCTGTCCCAGCCACCAGCACCAACAAGCTTGATACCATAGAGCTGAGGGGTCTCAGGAGTTGGACATTGGCTCTCTCAGCCACAGCAAGTACAGTTAGCTGAATTTGAAATGCAGGGAAAGGGAATGTGGTAGCTTCCTTCTCAAAAATTTGACCCCAGCCAATCATTCTTCAGTGATTTTCAGACTGTGCTCCTCAGAACCCCAGGTTCTGAGAGACTCCCTGCTCTTGCTCTGCACAATTCTGAGCACTGGTGTACAGCAATAAGCAAGTGAGGCACTCTCCACCTTCATGGAGTTGACAGCCTGAGACAGGCAATGGCATCAGGAGCAATAACTGTTACGCTGGAGAAAGTGCAAGGAAACATTTAACAGGGACCCCTAGGCAATTGTTGGGCTGGGAAAGGTCTCCTGAAAGAAAGGAAATTTGAGCTGAGATCTGAAATACGTACCCCATGTCCTGGTCTTGGTTCTTTGGTGAGCCCAATAACCTGTACCTTCCCAGCTCATGTGGCCCAAGGACTCAGACAGCCCAACTCTGGTTTTCCTCTAAGATACAAATGAAACATATCAGTGCTTGTATATAAAGACCCACTCTTAGTGCCATTTTGTCTATCTTTGCTGGGTCTTGTGGGGAAATCAAAGTCCCAACTTGTAACTTGGGACATCTGTTCTGTTACTTCTTTCCTGGCTTGGGTCCTCATCAGTTCTCATCCGACCCATTGAGAAAGCCTTAGAACTTGTCTGCTCCCTACCTCCAGTGGGTCCACCTCCAGGTGTCCTTTCCAAATATAGACTCCCCCTCTGCCTGACACCCATCCGTGGCTCCCAGCCAGGCGTCAGCCGCACATCTCAGGAACCTGCCTTCTCAGGAGGGATCACCGGAACATCCAGCAGGGAGGAGAGGGGGCTGCTTTCCTACCACACATCCCCCATCTAGAGTTTCTGAGTCATCACCCCATCCAATTGGTGATGTCCCACTCGATTCATATGTTCAAATCCTAACCCCCAAGGTGATGGTATTAGGACATGGGACCTTTGGGAGGTGATTAGGTCATGAGGGCGAACCCCCTAATGAATGGGATTAGTGCCCTTAGAAAAGAGGCGTGAGAGAGACCCCTGACCTTTCCTGCCATGTGAGAGGATAGTGAAAAGAAAGACAGCTGTCTCTGAACCAGAAAGTGGGCCCTCACCAGATAGATACAGAATCTGCCGGCACTTTGATCTCGGACTTTGCAGCCTCTAGAACTGTGAGAAAGAAATTTCTGTTGTTTATAAGCTCCCCAGCTTATGGTATTTCAGCATAGCAGCCAGAACAGACTAGGACTTCCTGCTCCATCCTCCCTTAGGAGCCAGATGAGCATTGCTGTTAAGCATGGGAACAGGCTGTATTTCTCAGAAGTGTGACATTGAAAACGGGTAGATCAAACGGGACATGCAGACTCTGTAGCCTGATATTCAGCAGCTTATGAATCCAGTCCTGTCTGTCTTGCCTGAGCTCCTCCCACACTAAACACACCCTCTCTGGTCAGCCTGAGGTCACTGATGCTTCCTGGGGACACTCTTCTTTTTGTACTGTTATGGGATCTTTGGGGTATCAGTTTTCTTCCTGGAAACCTCTGTGGCCGGTGGTGCTTTTGCCCGAGTTCTTGTCCTGGGTCCAGGAAGAATAAGGTATGCAGACACATGAAAGGTGAAGAAGGTGAAAAGGAGGTTTATTTAGTGTTAGAACAGCTCAGAGGAGACCCACAGTGGGTAGCTTCTCTCTGTAGGCAGGTCATCCCATGGAGTGTTCAGCTTTCAGCAAAGAGGTGGCCCTGGGGAGGGTGGCTCCTCTCTGCCCACTGCTCATTCCACTGTCTGCTGCTCTCAGCAGAGAGGAGGCCCTGGAGAGCGTGGCTCCTCTCCGCAGCAACTTGTTCAGACATCTCTGCATGTCTCTGAAGCTCTCAGCAGGGAGGGTAGTTCCTCTCTGCTGCTGGTTGTCCCATAGTCTCTCTCTCTTCTGCCCTGCTCTGACTGAGCCCCAGGGCTTTTATGGACCTCAGAGGGGAGGAAGTGTGTGCTGATTGGTCCATGGGTGGGACAGAAGAGGTACCACGAGTCCCCACTCCAGCCTGAGGACTGGCAGGTGGCCCCCAACCTTCAGGCCCCCCCTGGCCTTCTGAAGGTAGGGCCTTGTGGGAGACCCGCCCTCTTCCACCCAGGAGTCTGTCTGTCCGCCCCACCCCTTGCCATTCATGGCCCTGGGGGCTTGTCCCCAACCCCACTCAGAAATCAGAGCCCCTACAGGGGGAAGAGAGAGGCCAGGCAGCAGAAGCAGACACCCCCAAGCCAGCAGGGAGGGGGGCACCTTCCCAAGATGCTGAGGATGCAGGCTGATGCCCAGTCTTGTGCCTGGGAGGGTGGCTGCAGCTGCACCCAGGGAGCTCCAGACCTGCCAACTCTGAAGGGGTGGAGTTCCAACTTGTCTCTGGCTCCTGCCTGCTCCGTGGAGGGGGAAGGCCAGGTCTGCAGCTATGGGTGGGGTGGTTGTAGCAGTACCCAGGGCAGATCCTGCCTGCTTCTGGCCCCCTCCAAATCCACAGGGAGGCTCGAATCCACAGCACAATTTGGGTGGCTGTAGCCCCACCCAGGAGGGCAGGGCTCCTGCCTGCTCCATAGAGCAGGAGGCCTGGGTCTGCAGTCATGGTTTGGGTGGCTGCAGCAGCATCCAGGGGAGCTCCTGCTCCAACTCAGAAGGGGCAGGGCTCCCACTGGCTCTATGGAGTGTGCAGCCCTAGCCACGCATCCCTGCTGCAGCCAGTATGATGGCAGCAGCCTCTGCCATCAGTACGCCCATACATTTTGATTTGATGATTTACATTTGATTTTCCCTTTGCCCAGAATCCCCCTCCCACTGCATCTTCCTGGAGGGACCCTGTTCAACTTCCAAACTCATCTAAGCTGCCGAGTCCTCCCATACATACTTCATTCGCCATAGCACCCTGTGCCTCTGTTGTCTGTGGGTGCTTATTCTATAGTGTTCCAATTAACATCATGGGGTATGTGGACTATCCTGAAACAGCATCCCTGTATGTGCCACTGTTTCTGTGGGAGAATCGACTCTAAATTCAAAATTACTTACTTGTCCTTATTCCTAGAAGTTTACATATTTTAAGCATAGGACTCTGTGTCTTCCACTTTTGATGAAGAGAGAAAAATGTTTCAAGAAACTAAAATCATATCCCAGATCCAAGACGTTGTAATGCAGTGATTAATTCCAGCCCTTAAAGCAGACAGACCTCTGCAAAGAGTGTCTTGGTAGCTTGTCGCCTTAGACCGTGGCACTCTTCAGTTTCCTCATCTGCAAGGTAAGGCTAATACCGACCTCCTAGCTTATTGCTTTGAGAACTAAATGAGATAATGTGTGGAAAACCCTTAGCAAAGGGCTCAGTCGATGTTGTTATTAATCAACCCCTGGGTTCCTCTGGGGTACATAAACAGTTCTGTTTGCTGGATTGTACTTATATGAATAAGGTAACTAAGTGCTGGGCATGGTGGTACCCACCTGTAGTCCCAGCTACTCAGGAGGCTGAGGCAGGAGAATCACTCGAGCCCCAGAGTTCAAGACTGCAGTGAGCTATGATTGTACCACTGCACTACAGCCTGGATGACAGAGTGAGACATCATCACTAAAAATAATAATAGTAATAAAAATAAGGTAGCCAGGTAGATTCAAATATAGACTCAGATATATATTCCTAAGGTTTTTCAGCAAAATATATCTTCCTAAGGTTTTTCAGCAAAATATATATTCCTAAGGTTTTTCAGCAAAGTTTAAAACACCTATTTAATTCATCCAAACAGTATATCTAGTGAGTGAGTCCAAATTACCTTTTTTTTTTTTGAGACGGAGTCTCACTCTGTCGCCCAGGCTGGAGTGCAGTGGTACAATCTCGGCTCATTGCAGCCTCTGCCTCCCGGGTTCAAGTGACTCTCCTGCTTCAGCCTCCCAAGTAGCTGGGACTACAGGCGCATGCCACCATGCCTGGCTAATTTTTTTTGTATTTTTAGTAGAGAAGGGGTTTCACCATTTTAGCCAGGATGGTCTTGATCTCCTGACCTCATGAGCCGTCCACCTCGGACTTCCAAAGTGCCGGGATTACAGGCGTGAGCCACCGAAATTACCTATTTTCTAAACAAACTGACTCTGAGTTTTATATCTATACAATGGTATGTGGCTTCCATTTTCTTCTAAGTTCTCTTCCATGTCCTCAGCCCCCTCCTGCTTCCAGTGTCAAGTGTGTCCTGTGACTTGAGCTCCTTCCTCATGCCAGGCCCTGTCCTTCTCTCCCCACGCCCTCTGCAGGTGCCCCTCCCAGGGTACATCGAGGCCTACCCCCGATCACGGTACCCCCAGAGCTCTCCCTCCAGGCTTCCTCGTCAGTACAGCCAGCCAGCCAACCTGCACCCCAGCCTGGAGCAGGCCCCGGCGCCCTCCACAGCGGCCTCGCAGCAGAGCCTGGCAGAAAACGACCCGTCTGACGCTCCCCTGACCAACATCTCCACTGCGGCCCTTGTGAAGGCCATCCGGGAGGAGGTGGCCAAGCTGGCCAAAAAACAGACAGACATGTTTGAGTTCCAGGTCTAACGCCTTAGCCCCGTGGGACTCTGGACTTCCAAACTCTGAGGACTCAGCCTTTGGGTTTCCCATGCCTACGTGTTAGGACTTGAGACATAGCAATGGGTGAGTCTTTCTCACCCTCCATTTCTGAAAAGGTGAACTATGGGGCTTCTGGGAACAGGAAACTCTTGAACGACTAGATTCTTGGCTCATCCAACTGATTGTGGGTCAAGTCCCTGGCTTGGGGCCTTATGTTTGATACTCTCTCATGTCAAATGTTTGAACTTTGGGCATGTGCCCTATGGAAGCTTAGTCACAAGAGGCACTAGCTAATCTACAGATTCCTATCCAATGCCACATTTTAATAAATCACCGGAAGCGGGAGAATGTAGCTCTTATCTTCGGTGACCTCTGCATGTTAACTCTGTTTCTGTGTTAAAGGCAATGCAGGAGTGTGGATTAAGCACCAGACTGTATTCTCATTCAACCATGACCGTGCGCATTAAAATCAGTTTGTAAGGGAGACACTGACTCCAGCCAAGAAACCTGAGCCCCTTTTTTTTAGGTTCATATTCAAAGTCAAATGAACTGGATGAAAGTCAGTACCAATGGCTGTGCCTATAAATAGACCTGATTCTTTGTTTCCCTCGTCAATTAAACAAAGGCCAAGAAAGAGAGAAGATGAGAGGGAATGGTGGATTTGCGTTGACAGATTTTTTAAAAGGTGTTGCCATTTTGGAAATAAAAGTCCCCTACAAGTTAGGATCTAACTGAAAGAGAATCGGTGCTAAGAGCTTTTAGGATCCTACAAAAGAAACACAGTTATTTGTGAAGGTTTTTCTTTGCCTTGTTTTGAAGGTGGCCTGAGAATGGAGCTTCTCTTTTTCTTGGGATAATAGATACATCAACTTTTACAAGAAAATCTCTGTCTCTTCAACAATGATGTCCAGTGTGTGCTGCTGAGTGGTACAAAAGGAAATAGTACTTGATTCCTGTTAGAAACAGGAGTGGTAGAACCACAGTCTTCCCAGGCCGCAGCCTCTGTTTATAGAAGCTTCTGAATGTAGAAAAGCTGTTGAATTTCATTTAAATGTAAATAACCTTTTAAAAAGCGTATGGAGTTAGCCAGTTCCCCCTAGTTAATGGACATAGGAAGACATTTGCTGAAATGGTAGGGTGGCCACTTTGTGACCATGATGTTGCAAGTTGCCCTCCCTGGCATGGTGAGTTGGCTTCCAGAGCTGTGGGTAGAGGACATCGCCTCACGGCACTGAGGCACCAGCCGCTGCCTACCCATCAATGCAAGCAAAACAGCTACTGACTTTGTGTAGCAGGGAGATTGGGGACTCTGGTTCCCTCGCCAAGTGTGGCAGCCTGTGCAGTGTTGGGGGCTTACTTGGTATCTGTTGGAGAATGAGGTCCTGTCCTGCTTTCACCCATGACCCATCTAGCTTCAGCTGTATCCATTTTCTTCTGAGCCCATCTTCCATTGTCCTCAACGAGTTTCTTTGGTCTTTACTGAAAGAAGATAGTAGAAATTTAAAAGTTGAGAGAAGACTAGAAATGGAACTGATTAGAAGGGGAGGTTCAAACTGTCAATGCACAGACTTTTCAAAGAAGTTGTTTATATTTTCCAATGGCAAACTGCCCTTTCTGGAATGTTCAGAGATGATGTGTCATGGAACCTTCAAACAAGTCTCTTGTTCGGATGATAATAGGTAGTGTCCTTTTAGTATGCTGGTTGATCTTTCATAGTGTTAGTGTTTTGTTACTTAAAAAGGAAATCAGCTATAAATAAAATGTATTTTTGTAATTCCCGTGTGTATATATGGTATATTTCTATCAATGGCCAGTTGTTGTAGTCCAAAACCTAAATCAGTTTGCAAAACACTGTGGACAGTGCGAGATTTTATTGACAGGTTAACACAATGCCTACGTCTATCCACATAGGCATTCAATGCACTTGAATGAACAAAGAGCCAAAGAAACTCAGCCTGTTCATGCAAATGGTATGAGTCTGATAAAATCAGCTACATTGTCCTGCTTTATCAATAATAATATTTCATTAGTGCAATGATATCAACCAGTACTTTGTCTACTTGGTAAATGCCTGGAAATACTGTATGTGAAAATGATGTTTCAAGATCTTACTGTAATTGAAGTATACGTAAATGTTTCAGAAGACAGTGTCTGAAATTTGGCTGTTTCAATGACTTACAGAGACTGAGTCTACAGTTTGCAGAGCTATGGCTCCAGAGTGCTAAGAGGGTGGAGTCACAAATCACTGTGGTCTTTACAGAGCCCCAGGAAATACTGAGTGAGTCAACTGAGACGACTAAAAAGATAGCATGCTAAATCAGATACTGTCTTAAACTAGACACCATGGGTTCAAGAATAGTATTAATAGATGAGAGGAAAACCTTAAGTTGGAAAGAAATCAGTCTGTTCATGTTATCCCACTCATGGGGAGACAGAGCCACTCTGGTCAGATTTTCTGTGAGTGAGATGTGGTCCCTTCCCTGAAGAATCTCCTAACCTCATAGAGGTGAGAGAGATGACTGGACAGCTGACTCTAAGAGATGGTCAAAAGTGCCTCAAGGAATTGAAATAAGGTTCCCAGAGAGCCCTGAGGAGGCAGCAATGAACAAACACCCTGTTCATCAGAACCCTCTAGATAGTCACAGAAGCCACAAAAGGACCTTGGTTGACCTTGGAGGAGGAAGCAGAAGTACCACGAAGTGGAGTGACTGGCCCAGTGATTCAGTCCCAACCTCCTGGTTCACGAACCTGCTTGCTTTCCATCTCGCCATGTGGCCTGCAGGCTTGTCAGTAACACATTTCTTTAGCTGTGCCTAGAGGTTTAAAAAAAAGATAAGGGTCATATGAAGAACTCCATAATGTTCTTGCCAAGAAAAAAGATGATTGAGTATATAACGAACTTCAGATACAGTGTATAGAGGATGATGCATTTGTGGCATAATAAATAGTTTTCAGTGCTGGTTTTGATATGAGTTTTCTGCATTCATGAAAAAGAAATGCATTTTGGCTTTTTCCAGAAAGAGTACCATCAAGGAAACGGAGACCTCAACTGCTGTTCTAGACTGTGGGGGTGCATTCCTGTCTCAGCACCAAGGATCCCAACAGGCAGGCAGGGAGGCCCTTGACTTTGTGTCACTGTGAGGCAGCAGAGTCCATGCTCTGCATCAGGGGAGGTGCAGTAAAGGTCCATTGTGTGGCTTGAGACCTATGATCTGAGGCTTGTGCATAATAAGATGGCAGCTGTTACCTACAGAGCAAGGAGTTTCCTCTTTCAGGGTAGATTATGTAAGAATCAATTCCCTGGTCCCAGGAGAAGTTTTATTGTGAGTTTGTTAATTTAAGAACTCACTCAGCAGAAGGACATGTAATGTCTGAGTAATCTTGATGGAAGAAAGGAAATAGATCTGTGATTAAAACACACACACACACACACACACACACACACACACACCCTACTTCGGAGAGAGAATGTAGAATGGAGGAGGTGAGGAATTTAACTAATAGAGATGCTTTTTCTAACAGGCAGAAATTAGAGAAATGGATCAAAAGATTTAAACATTGATTACATATAAACGAGTTTCCTTTTTTTCTACATAGCACACAGGTGCTCAACATTTAATGAATAATATAACAGATACTGTCTTAAAAGTTTAAAAACAGGATTTGTACTTAATCCTAAATTCCTCTTATCACACACCAGAAAATAATTTGGATTTTATTTACAAACTACATCCAAATACTCTTAAGGAAAGAGTGTCATTTAGCTTGGAGTAGGGACTGACTGGGGTCTAAGTGTTGGAAATTAAATTCTGCCATTCAGTCCAACCTCAAAGGTGTTCCAGGCAAGGAGTTTTGCAAGGACTAGAAACCCTTTCACACTTGAAGTGCAGGTGTTGGCTGAAAGAATAGAGGGACATTTCACAAACACAGAACACGGCTCCCCTACAGGAAAGGGATGGAGACAGCTACCTTTGCTCTTGCTCTCACATTCTCTGTCCTCATGGACTTTCTTCTCTGTTTCCCTCTGCCTATCTATCTGCCTGGTTCTCTTGCTTCTCCTGGCCAACCAGCTTTCTCATTAGTGCATATGTAGCTGAAAAATCCACCCCTCAAGAACCCACTCCACACAACCTTTCCTTTTCAGTACCCACCACGCTCTGACTAGCATCTCTGTGATGCCTAAGGCAAATTTTTGAGGATCTGATTGGTTTAGTTCATCTGCCTATGGGTGAGCCACCCTGGGGTCAGGTGCCTGTCCAATCACCTGTTACCAAGGAGGCAGGGCCGTGTCATTTAAGCATGGCCCCATGGACTGACCCTTTCAGCAGGGACTTTTATTGGGGGCTGGTACCCAGAAGAAGGAGCATGAGTGGGCAAGACCTTCAAAAAGAACCTACTACACACTGGAACTGACTAGTACTCCTGGGATGCCATGCCACGCAGCAGCCAGCACTCGGAGAGCAGTCCCCTGGATACTACCACACAGAGAAAAGGGGCATCTTCACTTGCACATCAGGTGAGGGTGCACACACTTGAAACTCTGCTAGACTGGCCAGAGCTGCCCCAGCCACTTCTCACCCCACCACCAGTTATTGATACAGCCGCTGGGTCTAGGAAGCGATTTCTGAACAAGGCCCAGTTAGCACAATGTCTTGCTCAGCAGACAATAAATACTTGTAAATTGAATTGCATGATCTTAGCTCAGGTGCTACTAATGTGGCTCACGGCCACACACTTGCATGGATAAGAAAACCAATGAGCCCCTCAACAGAGTCTTTTGAAACAAAATTGGTTTCAAGTGAAACTTACATTATTTTTTGGCTGTGACCTTCTGAATATAATAACTTAGTGTCCTGAGAATTGAAAGGCCTCTTGATTTCTTAGGTGAACTGTTACAGAATCCTAGCCTGTGGTAAATGCTAAAATGTAAGGTGTTTCTGAGAAGGAATATTTAGGAAATATAATTGTGCCACACACACATTACTTTAGAAGATATGCAGTTGCTCTGATTCTGCAGGTTTAAAAAAAATGGGAAGTTTGTGATATGGCAGAATCTGTCTCCATTGGTCAAACCATACTTCAGTGAGAGCCATTATAAGTGAAATCTAAAAATTGATCGTTTTCATTCTCTGACTTTGGTCAGACTTTTGCAAATTATGGAGAGAGGCCATCAACATATTTTACATAAATTACTGTGGCCCCATCTTATTTCTCCTCATTTCTTCCTTATGTTTAAACACGCCCCCATCTCACACACAAACTGAGAAAAGATTTGTATCAAACAGAATCAGAGGCATATGAATGGACTGGAAATTGTGAAAAAGGTATAAATATCCTAGACCTTGATCAACTCACTTTAAACTGGTCTCTGATTCCTCATCTGTCAAATGAGTATAAGACCCTCTGTACTTCCCATGGTGATTTTGAGGAGCACATGCATAATGTATCTGAAAATGGCTTGACAAGCACTTGAAGCCATTCTTACTAAATTATTAGTTTTGTAATTCGGTTTTATCCAGGAAAATATTTTAGCTCCTCCTATCTGCTGAATTAATTTATACAGTCACATGTTCCATGACACCATGTTTTGCCAAGGAAAAATAAAGAAATTCCTAAATTTGAAATTGCCCACAAGATCTAGCCTCATCTGGAGTTGCTGTTATTGTCCTTGTTGTCTATGATTTGGAGGATATGTAAGTACTTGTACATGTGCTTTAACTCTGGGTGAAAAACCCCAACCGGTGAGTCTTTAAAACCATATTAGACACATTGGGCAAAGTACTGAGCAGAAGCTTTGAATGTAGCTGTTGTTATTTTAATGCTTCGCTTTCTAATGAACTTTGTACGTCCTTAGCCTCTGCCGGGAACAGAGTGTTCATATGCTGTTAGAATTTTTTATTGTAAAATAAAATGACAAAGGCTTTCATACCCCAAAACCTGCCTGTTTCTCATTCTACCTCCTCCAGATGGTGAGATGGAATCCCTTTCACAAGCCAGCCACAAAACAGTGCCTGTTGGGGGTTGCTAAAGAGCCATTCCAGTCCTGGAGACCACATTCCAGTGTGGTCTCAGGAGCCATCCCAGCTTGGGTGATGAGCTCATGGGCCAAAAAAATGCTCACCCCTGGCCATCCACAGGCCTCAGAGAAGCAGTTTCAGCCTACCCATGACTTAGCAGCTAAAGAAAGATGTATTCCTGGGGCCAACAGGACCCAAGGGAGAAGAAGCCAATGTCCACTTAGGTGCCATTCTCAGAGCATAAAGAAGTCTCATCCAGGTCAGTGGCTCCCAAGGAGTCCAAGAATGACAGTGGTATGGGACACCAGCTCCCCAGACCACCCATCTGTCCTACCCTATGTGAGTCCCAGCAGTCCTGATGCCTGCCTTATGTTCAGCCCTATCCAGAGAACATATGTGGTGCCGCCTGCTCTGCCCTCTGGCTTCCGCCTATTGGACAGGAGAGATATCGACCCAGGAGTCACAAGCTCACAGGCTGACCAGCCACAAAAATGTGGCTCAACACATGGGCTAGGCCAACTGGATTCTCTCTCTAGGAAATACCAAGAGACAGAGTCTGTTATCAGTAGATGTTGAAATTGGGTGGTCAAGACTCAGAGAGGCCATGATGGACCATATTCAAAGCAAAGTTTTAAGAAGGCAGAATATTGAGTAAGAAGTGGCCTTGAGGCCAAGGAGATTTCAAAGGTAAGAAAGCCTGTCTCTTGTAATGAAAACAGACAAACCAACCAATTTCTGAGGCATCCCTGTGCCCTGGTGGTCAGTCACAACCCTGGGACTCTTATGGATCCATTGAGCTTGGGCAGCAACATGGTGCTGCTTCTCACTGAAGCCTAATTTGCTCCAGTTCTCTCCATGTACTTAGAAAGTACTTAAGAGACTGGAGGAGCAACTTTTTTACTCCACTCTCTGCTTCTCTGTAAAGAGGACTCAAATACGCACAAAAGACATTTCCAAAGCCACTATCTTGCTACAGTGAGAAATAAACTTGGAGCCCCTATGAAATGCTTTTTGTGAGGCTCACCGTGGGGTGAAGGCCATTGCAGAGAATAGTACAAGTAGGTCCAAGAACTGATGGGTTCCCTACTCTTCCATTTTTTTTCCTTCCTCCTGGACCCTGGTTGCTCTTGGCTTTCAAGGCAAATGAAATAATCAAGTAAAAGGAAGTGGTGGTGCCTATGTCAGTACCAGGAGTAGGAGGCAGACACAGGCACAGGAAGCTGGAAAAGGCATATTGCAAGCCCAGCTTCGCCTTGCTAAGTCTCCATCATAAACAGGAGAACATACTTCTTCCAAAGGACATTCTGTAGACTTCTGAGTAAATGTCATGCATCCAACTCATGAGCTCTGCTGGCCACTAGAAACCAGAAAGAATGTGCCTACGAAGGAGTGTGGAACCAAGTAATGGAAACATCGTTGAGGGTCAACCACTGGTAAAGTGTACACGGATGAGTAGTAGGTGCTACAGACTGCATGTTTGTGTCACCCCCACTCCCCAGTTCATGTCTTAAAACCTAATCCCCAATGTGAAGGTATCTGGAGGTGGGGTCTTTGGGAGTTGATTAGGTCATGAACCTTCATTAATGAGATTAGTGCTGTTATATGTAATAAAGGCCCCAAAGAGACCCCTCATCTCTTCTGCCATCTATGAACCAGGAAGCGGGTCCTCACAGACACCAAATCTGCTGGTACCTTGAATTTGGACTTCCCAGATTAGAACTGTGAGAAATAAGTTACCATCCAGTTTATGGTATTTTGTTATAGCAGCCTGAACAGACTAAGACAGTAAGAAACAATTGCTTTGGGTCTCTCTGTAACCACTTGGAGGTATGGTTATGATCAACACTGGCTTGCACAGTTCAGCACTTCATTTTTAACATTTCAGTGTTAATATTTGCACATGCACAAACTCACATTTGGGCAGAGGCCATGGGACTCATTGGAATTGAAATAGTCTCATTAGCGTAACAGTTTCACCACCAATCTGTCCCCCAAGCCCCTGGACTCTGATGAATCTTCACTCAACATATATGAGAGCTTGCTTTTTCTTTTGGTGCCCACTTCATCACTCAGCTCCTCAGTCCTGGTGGGAGAGGCCTTTGGGAGACCTACAGGTCCTGTGAAAGCCACACCCCTTGAGGCTGTATCCCCATGATGTCAACACAACCCAATGAAAAATCAGGCAACCACCAGATGCCTTGCCTAGGGAAGCTTTGAGAACAGCTGGATTTGGGGCACAGGATCTCCCAATAGGCTGGATGTTGCACTGGATTTCTCATGGTTTATCCTACTCTGCTGGGATTGGGAGACAAAGCCAGGGGCTGATTGCATGCCCCTTGGGATGTCCATTTTCTAGGTCAAGTTTCAGCAGCATCAAGAGAGGTTCTGGACAGTCTTACAACTAGGAAAACAAAGGGCCAGAATGCCCCAAGTTGCTTCATGTATTAATGTTCAGGGGCTTTGGGAACTAGAAGTTTGCTTCTCTGTGAGATTTTATCCCTAAAACTGGTTGGTCCTGAACACACTTTGTGTGCCACAGTGACCAACTCTTTTAGAATGGGTCCAGGTAAAAGAGAACCAAAGGCTGAGACCAGAAACCAGATGCCACAACTGAGAAGGCATTAGCCCTGGAGAAGTGGGCATGCATATCTGGGTATGGTTTTATCCTGTTTTTTATTATTTCCATAGGTTTTTGGGGAACAGGTAGTATTTGCTTACATAAGTTCTTTAGTGGTTTGTGAGATTTTGGTGCGCCTGTCACCCAAGCAGTATACACTGAACCCAGTTTGTAGCCTTTTTCCCCTCACCCCCTTCCCACCCTTTCCTCATGAGTCCTTGAAGTCTATTGTATCATCCTTATGCCTTTGCATTCTCATAGCTTAGCTCCCACTTACGAGTGAGAACATACAATGTTCGGTTTTTCATTCCTGAGTTACTTCGCTTAGAATAATAGTCTCCAATCCCATCTTGTTTGCTGCAAATGCCATTAATTCATTGCTTTTTATGGCTGAGTAGTATTCCATTATACATATATACCACAATTTCTTTATCCACTCATTGATTGATGGGCATTTGGGCTAGTTCCATATTTTTGTAATTACAAATTGTGCTGCTATAAACATGCATGTGCAAGTATCTTTTTTGTATAATGACTTCTTTTCCTCTGGGTAGATACCCATTAGTGGATCAAATGGTAGTTCTGCTTTTAGATCTTTAAAGAATCTCCAGACTGTTTTCCATAGTGGTTGTACTGGTTTACATTCCTACCAGCAGTGTAGAAGTGTTCCCTTGTCAGCACATCCATGCCAACATCTATTTTTTTTTTTTTTGATAATGGTCATTCTTGAGGGAGTAGGGTGGTATCACATTGTGGTTTTGATTTGCATTTCTGTGATCATTAGTTATGTTGAGCATTTTTTCATATGTTTGATGGCCATTTGTATATCTTATTTTGAGCAATTTCTATTCATGCTCTTAGCCCACTTTTTGATGGGATTGTTTATTTCTTGCTAATTTGTTAGAGTTCCTTGTAGATTCTGGATATTATTCCTTTGTCAGGTGTATAGATTGTGAAGATTTTCCCCCACTCTGTGGGTTGTCTGTTTACTCTGCTGACTGTTCCTTTTGCTCTGCAAAAGCTCTTTAGTTTAATTTAAAGTCCCAAGTATGTATCTTTGTTTTGTTTTTGTTGCATTTGCTTTTGGGTTCTTTTGGTCATGAAACCTTTGCCTAAGCCAATGTCTAGAAGGGTTTTTCCAATGTTATCTTCTAGAATTTGTATAGTTTTAGGTCTTAGATTTAAGTCCTTGATCCATCTGGAGTTGACTTTTGTACAAGGTGAGAGATGAGGATCCAGTTTCATTCTCCTACATGTGGCTTGCCAATTATCCCAGCACCATTTGTTGAATAGGGTGTCCTTTCCCCACTTTATGTTTTTGTTTGCTTTGTTGAAGATCAGTTGGCTGTAAGTATTTGGATTTATTTCTTGGTTCTCTGTTCTGTTCCACTGGTCTATGTGCCTATTTTTATACCAGTACCATGCTGTTTTGGTGACTGTGGCTTTATAATATAGTTTGAAATCAGGTAATGTGATGCCTCCAGATTTGTTCTTTTTGCTTAGTCTTGCTTTGGCTAGGTAGACTCTTTTCAGTTCCATGTGAATTTTAGGAATGTTTTTTCTAGTTCTGTGAAGAATGATGGTGGTATTTTGATGGGAATTGCATTGAATTTATAGATTGCTTTTGGCAATATGATTATTTTCACAATGTTAATTTTACCCATCCATGAGCATGACATGTGTTTTCCATTTGTTTGTGTCTATGATTTCTTTCAGCAGTGTTTTGTAGTTGTCCTTGCAGAGGTCTTTCACCTCCTTGGTTAGATATATTCCTAAGTATTTTATTTTATTTGTAAAAAAGAAAAGCTTATTGTAAAAAAAGGTTGAGTTCTTCATTTGATTCTTAGCTTGATCACTGTTGGTGTATAGCAGAGCTACTGACTTGTGTACATTAACTTTGTATCCTGAAACTTTGCTGAATTCATTAATCAGTTCTAGGAGCTTTTTGGAGGAGTCTTTAGGGTTTTCTAGGTATACAGTCATACCATGAGCAAACAGCAACAGTTTGACTTCCTCTTTAGTGATTTGAATGCCCTTTATTTTTTTTCTCTTGCCTGATTGCTCTGACTAGGACTTCCAATACTACGTTGAATAGAAGTGGTGAGAGTGGGCATCCTTGTCTTGTTCCAGTTCTCAGAGGGAATGCTTTCAACTTTTCCCAGTTCAGTATTATGTTGGCTGTGGGTTGTGATAGATGGCTTTTATTTCATTGAGGTATGTCCCTTGTATGCCGATTTTGCTGAGAGTTGTAATCATAAAAGTGATGCTGGATTTTGTCACATGCTTTTTCTGTGTCTATTGAGATGATCATGTGATGTGATTTTTGTTGTTAATTGTTTAAGTAGTGTGTCATATTTATTGACTTGCATATGTTAAACTATCCCTACATCCCTAGTATGAAACCTACTTGATAATGGTGTATTATCCTTTTTGATATGCTGTTGAATTTGGTTAGCTAGTATTTTGGTGGGGATTTTTGCATCTATGTTCAACAGGAATATTGGTGTGTAATTTTCTTTTTTTGTTATGTCCTTTCCCAGTTTTGGTGTTAGGGTGATACTAGCTTCATAGAATGATTTAGGGAGGATTCCCTCTTTCTCTATCTTATGGAATAGTGTCAATAGGATTGGTACCAATTCTTCTTTGAATGCCTGGTTTCAGCTGTGAATCCATCTGGTCCTGGACTTTTTCTGTTGGTATTTTTTTTAATTACCATTTCATTTTCACTGTTTGTTTTGGGTCTCTTCAGGGTTTCTAATTCTTCCTGATTTAAGCTAAGAGAATTGTATCTTTCCAGGAATTTATGCATCTCCTCTAGGTTTTATAGTTTATGTTCATAAAGGTGTTCATAGTAGCCTTGAATGATCTTTTGTATTTCTGTGGTGTTGGTTGTAATATCTCCCATTTTGTTTCTAATTGAGCTTATTTGGATCTTCTCTCTTTTTGGTTAATCTTGCTAATGGTCTATCAGTTTTATTTATCTTTTCAAAGAACCAGCTTTTTGTTTCATTTATCTTTTGTATTGTTTCTCTTGCTTCAATTTCATTTAGTTCTGCTCTGATCTTTGTTATTTCTTTTCCTCTGCTGGGTTGGGGTTTGGATTGTTCTTGTTTCTCCAGTTCCATGAGGTGTGACCTTAGATTGTCTATTTGTGCTCTTTCAGACTTTTTGATGTAGGCGTTTAATGCTATGAAGTTTCCTCTTAGCATCACTTTTGCTGTGTCTCAAAAGTTTTGATAGGTTGTGTCACTATTATTGTTCAGTTCAAAGAACTTTTTAATTTCCATCTTGATTTCATTGTTGACCCAACGATCATTCAAGAGCAGGTTATTTAATTTCCATGTATATATGGTTTTGAGGATTCCATTTGGAGTTGATTTCCAATTTTATTGCACTGTGGTCTGAGACAGTACTTGATATAGTTTCAGTTTTCTTAAATTTATTGAGACTTGTTTTGTGACCTATCATATGGTCTATCTTGGAGAAAATTCCATGCACTGATGAATAGAATGTATATTCTGCAGTTGTTGGGTAGAATGTTCTTAAATATTTGTCAAGTCCATTTGTTCCAGGGTATAGTTTAAATCCATTGTTTCTTTGTTGAAGTTCTGTCTTGAAGACCTGTCTAGTGCTGTCAGTGGAGTATTGAAGTCCCCTAGTATTATTGTGTTGCTGTCTATCTCATTTCTTAGGTCCAGTAGTAATTGTTTTATAAATTTGGGAGCTCTGGTGTTAGGTGCGTATATATTTAGGATTGTGATATTTTCCTGTTGGACAAAGCCTTTTATCATTATATAATATCCTGCTTTGTCTTTTTAAACTGCTGTTGCTTTAAAGTTTGTTTTGTCTGATATAAGAATAGCTACTTCTGCTCGCTTTTGGTGTCCATTTGTGTAGAATGTCTTTTTCCACCTCTACCTTAAGTTTATGTGAGTCTTTATGTGTCAGGTGAGTCTCTTGAAGGCAGCAGGTACTTGGTTGGCGAATTCTTGTCCATTCTGCAATTCTGTATCTTCTAAGTGGAGCATTTAGGCTATTTGCATTCAACATTAGTATTGAAATGTGAGGTACTATTCCATTCATCATGCTATTTGTTGCCTGTATACCTTGGGTTTTTAAAAAAAATTTTTATAGGTCCTGTGAGATTTATGCTTTAAAGAGATTCTGTTTTGATGTGTTTCTGGGATTTGTTTCAAGATTTAGAGCTCCTTTTAGTAGTTCTTGTAGTGGTGGTTTGGTAGTGGCAAATTCTCTTAGCATTTGTTTGTCTGAAAAAGACTATCATCTTTCCTTCATTTATGGAGCTTAGTTTCACTGGATACCAAATTCTTGGCTATTTACGGAGGTTGAAGATAGGGTCCCAATCCCTTCTAGCTTGTAGGGTTTCTGCTGACAAATCTGCTGTTAATCTGATAGGTTTTCCTTTATAGGTTACCTGGTGCTTTTGCCTCACAGCTCTCAAGATTCTTTCCTTCATCTTGACTTTAGATAACCTGATGACAGTGTGCCTAGGTGATGATCTTTTGCAGTAAATTTCCCAGGTGTTCTTTGAGCTTCTTGTATTTGGATGTCTAGGTTTCTAGCAAGGCTGGGGAAGTTTTCCTCAATTATTCCCCCAAATATGTTTTCCAAACTTTTAGATTTCTCTTCTTCCTTAGGAATGCCAATTATTCTTAGGTTTGGTCATTTAACATAATCCCAAACTTCTTGGAGGCTTTGTTCATTTTTTAAAAATTCTTTTGTCTTTGTTGGATTGGGTTAAATCAAAAACCTTGTCTTCGAGTCTGAAGTTCTTTCTGCTGCTTGTTCGATTCTATTGCTGAGATTTTCCGGTACATTTTGCATTTCTCTAAGTGTGTCCTTTATTTCCTGAAGTTGTGATTGTTTTTTATTTATGCTATTTCACTGAAGATTTCTTCCCTCATATCTTGTATCATTTTTTTATTTCCTTAAATTGGACTTCATCTTTCTCTGGTGCCTCCTTGATTAGTTTAATAATCAACCTTCTAAATTCTTTTTTTAGGTAAATCAGGGATTTCTTCTTCATTTGGATCCATTGCAGGTGAGCTAGTGTGACTTTTTGGGGGTGTTAAAGAACCTTGTTTTGTCATGTTACCAGTATTTTTTTTCCGGGTTCCTTCTCATTTGGGTAGGCTATGTGAGAGGGAAGATCTGGGGCTCAAGGCTGCCATGCAGATTCTTTTGTCCCATGGGGTGTTCCCTTGATGTGGTACGCTCCCCCTTTTCCTAGAAATGTGGCTTCCTGAGAGCTGAACTGTAGTGATTATTATTTCCCTTCAGGATCTAACCACCCAGCAGGACTACCAGGCCCCGGGCTGGTACTGAGGGGTGTTTGCACAGAATCCTGTGATGTGAACCATCTTCAGGTCTCTCCATTGTGGATACCAGCACCTGTTCCAGTGGAGGTGGCAGAGGGGGTGAAATGGACTCTGTGAGGGTTCTTAGCTTTGGTGGTTTAATGCACTAGTTTTGTGCTGGTTGGCCTCCTCCCAGGAAGTGGCGTTTTCAAGACAGCATCAGCTGTGGTAGTAGAGGGAGGATCAAGCAGTGGGCAGGGCCCTAGAACTCCTAAAAGAATATGCCCTTTCTCTTCTGCTACCAGGGCGGGTAGGAAAGGACCATCAGGTAAGGGCAAGGCTAGGTATGTCTGAGCTCAGACTCTCCTTGGGTGGGGCTTGCTGCCACTACTGTGGGGGATGGAGGTGTGATTCCTATGTCAATGGAGTTATGCTCCCAGGAGGATTATGGCTCCCTCTGCTGTGTCAGGCAGGTTGTCAGGGAAGTGGGGGAAAGCCAGCAGTTACAGGCCTCACCCAGCTCCTACGCAACCCAAAAGGCCAGTCTCACTCCCACTGTGCACTCCCCCAGCAGCACCGAACTTGTTTCCAGGCAGTGGATGAGCAAGGCTGAGAACTTGCTCCAGGCTACCAGCCTCCCAGCTGAGAAAACAAGAAGGGCTTTCATGCCTCGCCACCTCTGGAGTCTACACACCAGATTCATGCCCTCTTTCGAGTTCTGGCCAGGAGACCTCGTGTTTGGTTGGAATTGTTACAGAGTTCACCTGGAGGTTTCCTTCTGTCTGTGGTCTTTTCCCAGTTCCTCTGGCAGCCCTCCCTAAGGACCCCTGTGAGACAAGTCAGAAATGGCTTCCTTAGGGACCCAGAGAGCCCACAGGGCTTTTCCTGCTGCTTCCTCTACCCCTGTATTTCACTCAGCTCTCTCAATTAACTCAGCTCCAGGTAAGGTTCAGTCCTTCTCCTGTGATCTAGACCTTCAGGTTCCCCAGTGAGGGTGTGTGTTTGGGGGCGGATGATTCCCCTTTCCCACTGTCACAGCTTGGGCACTCACAGTATTTGGGCTGCCTCCCAGGCCCTGCAGGAGCAATCCACTTCCTTCAGAGCGTCTATGGATTCGCTCAGCATTCCTGGTATATTCCTGCAGTAGTTCTGGAGCAAAAGTTAATGATGTGAGTCTCCACATGCTGCTCTATTTGTCGAAGCTGGAGCTGCAAGTTAGTCCTGCCTTCTATCTGCCATCTTCCTTCTAAAAAAAAAGCTGGTTTTTATCCTGTTAATCATTAATCTTTCATTTAACTGGAAACTGGAACTATCTAGAAGCACTGATAGAACCTTCCCCATAGCCATCCCTTCAGTCCTTCATAGGTTGAGGAGATGTTTCCTGAGCACCTGCTGTGTTTCAGACACTGTGCCAGGAGACAGGGACTCAGTGAATGGGACACAGCTCCTGCCCCTCACAAAGCTCACAGTCAAGGAAGATTGATCCTTGAGACACAAAGCCCAACCTATTAAGGGCTCACCATTCATTCAGTGCCATTTCTTCCTCATAAAAGCCAAATGAAAACTGACATCTTCTTTCTGGAAGCGTTTAAGTCTAGAAAAGGACAGGCTCTACTGTTGCATCTTCCAATTATGTGACACAGCTTTCCTTCCCAATTATCTTTAACCAATTAGTAAGATGTCCACAGTATCCCCAGGGGGAAGAGAGAAAATTGCCAATGCGAAGAAGCAACAAGCGTTACAAACCCAAATTTCAGAGCTGTCACCACCAAATGAAATCAGGAACCCAAGTGTAAAGAAGAAATAACCAATTTGCGAACTATACATGCAATCCAAATGAAAATTCAGGAACCATGTACTTTATGAATGAAGCCACAGTACACTGAACACTCTCATTTTGAATTGCTCATATCAATAAAATGCCATTCAGAATGTACCAGATTATTAATGTATGGGTTTTGGTTTTTATCCATCCTCTCAAATATAGTGCTCTGTGGAGCAAATCTAAATAGGCGAACCAAGTAGCGCTTTGCAGTGATACCATTCTTTGCTGCCTTAGTCTGTGTAGCTTAGTTGGCATTGTGTTGGGTTTTTCTTGCCACATTTGCATATGAAATAAAGCACATTGTCTCACTGGTAATTCGCCTTCCAAGGTGTAAGCAGATATTTGTGTTCACAGTTTGTCTTTTCCCTTAATACTTCTTTCTCCATTCCTCATAAGGAAGAGATTTTAACAAGTGTTTACAATATTCTCAGAATATTAGACATTGCCACATGATGAAGTGATATATCTTGCTGTTTTTGAAGTGATAGAATCCCAGACTCTGAGTTGAAAGGGAATCTAGTGAAGATTCTGTCCTTCACACTCCAGTCATCACAGGATAAACCTCATGACCTCTGTACACAATGTTACTCCCCTCGTCAGAGATTAAGCAGGACTAGAGCTTCGGAAAAGCAGACAGTCAAAATGAGAGGAAGTGGAGCAGAGAGAGGAGAAGATCAGGAAAAGAGAGCTTTTGAATGCAATTTAATAGAGAAAAAGAAAAAGGCACTATAGTTACCCTGGGATGGGGGCTGGGGGGTTACAAGTTTGTTGTGCTTTTTTAATACTTTATAGTTTAGGATTGTTTTCATTTTTAATTACATATAGGAAAAGAGGGCACTAAAATCTTTTCAGTTTGGGGCCTGATAAGGTTTTACTGTAGCTCCGAATCTATGTCATGACCACTGTTATTACACTTTAAAGGGATCCCAATCTTGGGATTTGACATCATCCAGACCTAGGTTTAGAACCTTGCCTTTACTACATTCTAGCTGTGTTACTTTGGGCAATTCATGTCCCCTCTCTGAGCCTTATCTGTGAAATGTGCAGTCAATGAGGTGACTGTAGAAGGGGAAGGAGAGAGTGCACCATTCACAACTGCATGGCACTCAACAAGTATGATGAATTATTGTTATTTATGGAGCCTCTGTTTGAATACTTGTACACAATGTTGCTCCCCTCGTCAGAGATTAAGCAGGACTAGAACTCACTTTCTCACCACAGCCAATGCATCACCCATTGATCACCCAGAAGGAGTGACTCCTCTACTCAGCCTCATCCGACTCATCTGCTATGGACAACCTCCCTTTTCAACAGCCTCCAGCACAGTGGGCTCAGGACACCTAGGGAGAGATGAATGGTGCTGTGAAAGGAAGAGCCCTTCATCATCCGGCCATGATGAGACAAGCTGGAACCAGCTGGAGCTGTGCTGCAGATTCCACATGCTCTTTTGGTTACAGCCTCATCATGCCTAGGAATCATTCTGAGTAACCAGCTCACCAGGAGTATAATACCCTGGTCCCAGCAACCCTGGAAAAGATCTGGGCTTGGTGGGTTAAAGATCTGGCAGCAAGAACGGTCAGCTCTGTAAGAGTGGCATGGAATTCTGGCTGGGCATGGTGGCTCACACCTGTAATCCCAACACTTTGGGAGGCCAAGCCAGGAGGATCACTTGAGGCCAGTAGTTCAAGACCAACCTGGGCAGCATAGTGAGATCCTGTCTCTATAAAAAAAAAAATAATTGCAACAGCCAGGCATGGTGGTATGTGGCTGTAGTCCTGGCTATTCAGAAGGGAGGATCACTTGAGCCCAGGAGTCTGAGGCTACAGTGAGCTATGATAGCATCACTGCACTGTAGTCTGGGCCACGGAGCAAGACTCTATCAAAAAAAAAAAAAAAAAATGACATGGAACTCACTCCTAGAATCATATGGTAAGCTCATGGAAAATAAGATTATATTTGGGGAAAATCCATAAGTCTCCTCCTGTACCAGCTCAAGGACAGTGTCGTTAAAGTGATGCATGTGCATGATTTGCATGTGATGAAATCAGGAGGGAACTTGCCCGTCCCCACTCTGGAGTCCATACCCTTGGCAATTAAGACGTTTGCCCACACAAACATTCTCCATATCAGCTGGCTGCTGTGGGCTAAAGGACAACAGGGAAAATATAATAGTTTGAAGCCAGTCACTGAAGAAAAGAGCTAAGAGTTTAAGACTTCAGGCTTTGGAGTGGCTCAGCCACATCCTAGCTAGATGCCTCTCGATGCCTCTATAAAATGGGGGCTGGGGCCATTTTCCTCATGTGTTGGGATGTAAATATTGATGAGATGCTGTATGTAGGGTGCTGAGCCCAGGGCCTGGCACTTGGCAATTCCTCAGTAGCTGGCAATTGCTAGCTGGCAGGGCTTGGGAGAAGCTCCAAGGGTGTCTCTAACCCCCTGACTGGACTCTCCTGTGCTCAGACACCACCACATCTTTTCCAGTGCTCTAACGGGCCCGTTAGAATGGTTGCATTAAACAGACTATAAAATGACATCAGTCCCTGAAATGCACCTAAAATAAACAGTTATTATGGACTGGATTGGGGAGGGCGCAGTGGACAATTCATATTTGCACATCATCCTTGTTTCTGTGTAGCAGGTTACACAATCTCTGCCAAGAGCCTGCTCATATACACGCATGCATACACCCAAACACGCATACTCACATGCCACACACTGGACAAGTGGGCCTATTCTGATTGTCCAGTGACTCTTCCTAAGTCACCTCCAAGAGAGAGAAGAAGGGACCTGGATTCCTGGAGGACTGCACAGAAGAAGAAGCTGCCAGCTGGAGCCTTGCAGGGAGGGAATAGGCTCAGCCATTGACCCCCTGTGTCAGCTTCAGCAGTGACTTCATTTCCCTGAGCCTATTTCTTCATTTATAAAGATGTGCCATTTTGCCTGCCCCCACAACAGTTAACTCTGGAAATCAAGCCTGCATGAAATCCCAAATATTACCTCTTCCCAGACTCAACACAATCTAATCAATTAAGAGGGGAAACTGCAGATATATTCTTCTATTCAGATCTGAGCTGTCCACTATGGTAGTTACCAATAGCCACGTGCCTATTTCAAGTTAAATTTAAATAACTAAAGTGAAATAAAGTTTAAAATTCACTTTCCCAGTTGCACTAGCCACATGTTAAAAACTCAATAGCTACATGTGTCTGATGGTCACCATAGTAAATGGCACTGATATAGAACATTTCTGCCATTTCAGAAAGTTCTATTGGACAGTGCTAAGATCATCCCAACATTAATGGCTAGTAATAACGACAGACAATAAAAAGATAAACAATAGTCTATATAAATAGATATATGTCTGAATAATAGGAACTAGGTAGACAAACAGAAGAGTACACAAAAACTAGAAATACATTGTAGATAATGCTATGAACTGAATTGTGTCCCCCGCTAAATTCATATATTGAAGCCCTAACCCCCAAAGTGATGGGATTTGGAGACAGAAACCTTAGACAGAGAATTATGTTTAAATGAGGTCATGAGGGTGGGGCCTTCATCATGGGATTAGTGCCCTTATAAGAAGAGAAAGAGACACCAGAGCTCTCTCTTTGCCATATGAGGACTCATGAAGAAGGTAGCCATCTCCAAGCCAGAAAGAGTCCTCAACAGGAACCAAATCAGCCAGCAGGTTAATCTTGGACTTCCCGGCTTCCAGAACAGTGAGAAATGAATGTCTGTTTTTTAAGCCACCCAGTCTGTGGCATTTGGTTACAGCAGCCCAAGCAGACCAATACACATAGTAAGAGTCAATGAGTTCAGCCCAGCTTCTCTTGTTCATGTGAACTGAACTTTTCATCTTGAAACCAGTTCTACAAAGAGCAGATTTTCCCTGGGTGAGTAAGATGTGGCTCTCAGCAGACAGCCACCTGCAGGCCTCTGGGAAAGGCCAGGTGCTGTGCCTGTTTATTTTTGCAATGAAAGCCTTCAATGGCTGTAGTGTCTCCTCCTCCCAAAAGGTTTCTAAATTGGATTTTTCCCTAGGTTATAATGAACAGGCTAATAAATGTCAGCCCTGGATGTGAGAGGACTAGAAAGGGGAGACCGTTTCATCCCATGTCTAAATCCATGCTGCCACCTGGTGGATCCCACTATAAGAGAAATGTGGGGATTTTGTGTTAATGACCAGAAACCTTGTTGCAAATTGCCCAGTGAACCCAAAGAGGCAAAGATGATGGTGAGCATTAGCTGTTTGTCACATCATGAGCTGAGCAGTTTACATACATATCTCAGGTAACTGGCAACAACCCCAGGCTGGGGGAATTATTGTGCGCCTTTTCCAGATGAGAAAAAGGGCCTAGAGAGTTAAGAATCTATTTTTTTTTTGAAAGAACAATTGGATGAATAAATGAGTAAACAAAGGAGTAAATGAATGCAGGCTTAGTTTATATGCATTGTTTTCAGAGTTACAGAATGTTTGTACTGGATTCAGGTAAACTCTGAAATGACAGTGATAATCCTGGCTGACTCTGTGAATGAGTAGATGGAATAATTAACATCTATTGAGTACTGGCTTTGGACTATGCATTGTTCTGAGTACTTCATACATATTAACTTACTTCAACCTTATAGCAACCTATGAAGTGGGGGTACTATATAATCTCCTCATTTTATAAATGACGAAACAAAGACACAAAGGTTAAGCAGTTTGTCCAAAGTCACACAGCTGGTGTGTGCTGGGATTTCAACCCAGGCAGTATGACCCCAGATCCAGCAATTATATACCACTTCTCAGATAAAAAGAGCTGTCTTAGGCCTGTCTCTGAATCTTGGTAAAGAACTCAAGGTACATCTTGACCCCATCCCCAAGCCTGTCATAAAGGCACTTGGCCCAGATGAGTCCCAGGATATTGCATCTAGATCATCCTTTCTTATCATTTTATGCAATTGACGTTTCCACCATAAGTCAAACCACAAGGCTGAGACTGCATTTTCCCCTCTATCCGCAGCCAGCAACGTGCTCCTTAAGCACATGGAGTGTCCACTTTGTGCAAAACCGTGTGCTCAGGATGACGATGATGACAACACAGGCCCTACCCTTAAGAAGATCGCAGTCGAGCTAGGGAGACATACTGATGGGCTATTATAATCCAGGTAGTAAGTCCCAGGAAAGGGGATGCCCAGAGTACAAAGGGAGCTCAGAGAAGGGACACATAGCCCAGACTGGGGACTGGAATCAGGGAAGGCTTCCTGGAGGAAGTGACATCCATGCTGTTGGGAGAGGAGCACTTCCCTTCAGCTTCCTTCCAAGAGCAGTACGGGAGTCCTGGCCTCTTCCTGCCTCTTTACCCGCCCAATGCCCAGTGATGGATGGGGACTTGTGATTCATAATTTGGGGAAGAATAAACTGGGCATACTTAGCCACACCCTGCCATTCCTCCTGGCTTAAGTAAAGAGAGTGACTGGCAATGGGTGTCTTTGATAATGAGCAACAGAAACTAAACTAAGGGAAACTAAGAAAGGTGTCGTCCGAACATTTAGAAGGAAAGGAATGAGGTGTTGCCACTGGACAACTCAGCTCCAACTACCATTTCTTGGGGAGAAAATATGAGAGACGGAGAGCAGCCTGCTCGCGATCATGTGTACTTGGAGCCTGATGCCACTCTTGTGAGTTCCCTGGGAGCCAAGTTGGAAGGAAGCTGACTGCAAAAGGCAGGAGGATGCAGTGAAAAAGAGATGGGAGGGGAGCTGCCTGGGCTCCTGGTGGCTTCCAGGCCCTGGTGCCAATTGCGCGAGGCCCATGAGGGAGCCATGTATCTTTGGCAGCCAGGGTCCTTCTTTTGGGAAGCAGCTGCTCCACAGTTCCAAGTGGTTCTGGTGGGGATGCAACCACAGGACCCTGGCCACCTCCTCCGCAACATGGACAGAGATGGAAACGTAGCCCGAGCTGGGCCAATCACATTTTCTAAGAACTGGTAGTTGGAGCTGAGTTGTCCAGTGGCAGCACCTCATTCCTTTGCTTTCCTTGTTCAGATGATGCCTTTTTAAATTTCCCTTAGTTTAGTTTCTATTGCTTGTGATCCAAGAAGCCCATTGCCAGTCACTCTCTTTACTCAAGTAAGTCAGTTTGAGTGGCCTGTTTCCCCCCAAAACCAAAGAGCACCTGGAATAGGTGATACTTCAGCTTTGCATCATAGATTTTCTGGATTCCTATTGTCGATTGAAATTACAGCTGTTTCACCAGAAATAACTTGATAAATGTTTATTGGAAGCCAAATGTGAGGATCGACCCAGGAAGACACACCAACAAAGCTGGGAGTGTCCTAGAGTCTGTTACAAGTTAGAAAGCTTTTATGGGAAGGTTTAGAAGAGGGGAGGAGGACTCTTCATACAAAGAGTTGTCTTTTTGTTATTGGAAGGTATAATAGAGAGATTAGTCACTGGCTACAGATGACAACCTACAGGCTAAAATGTCTACGGGCAAGACAGCAAAGTTTCATGATTCAGAAACAAATCAGCAAAACTTCATGATTCAGAAGCAAATCAGCATCCTTTTCCATGTCAGGCATGCATTAACCACTATGTCAACAGTTTAAGGAAATCACGATAAGATTCCTTACTCAGAAACAGGATGTCCTCATGAATCACAAAACTTCTGCTAGGTGGGAAGTCTGACAAATGCAAGTTATTACTATTTAGTCACTTTCATGGCAGCTCGGCACAGATATGTTCTCGGATATGCTCATGCGCTGGTGTGGACAGAATGACAGGATTGGGTGGTGACCATCCACCCTTCCTTTTGGGGACTGCCTACAGAGAGGCCATGCCCTTGGCCTTGTCTGTTGGGTGTGGGCCATGTGATACTGCCTGGGAGGAATGTGGTTGGCTCCCTCTAGAAAACAAACCCCTCTTCCCCAAACTGCTTCCCAGCCATATTCACCCCCTTTGTCGCTGCTTATGGGGCTGAGCTCCAGGGCCTGCGCATTGAATGCTTCTCCCTCCCTGTGGACTGGGCCTCCCTCCAGCTCACATCTCGTGGCCACCACCACTTCCAGCACCAGTGACTCAACAATGAGGGCTGTGTACTACACAAACAGGAAAATAATATTAAAATGATTCCCAGTTTGGGGCAGTTTCACATCTGTCATTTTTTGTTGTTGTCCCCACTCCCAGCCCCCATCCTGTGAAAGCAGCGTCTCCATTTGCCTGATGTGGAAAGAGGCTGTGAGAGGCTGGGTAACTTTCCCAAGGTCGCAGATCTGGTTAATGTCAGAATCAGGACAGAGTTCAAAGGAAAAGGCCAATATTCCCTGAGGCACCAACAAGGTATTTACCTCCAGTGAGAACAAAAGCCGTAAAGCAGTAATTAAATGTCTCTTCCTTCTGTTCCCAGCTGACTTCCACTGAACCCTGCCTGACCGCTTTGGCACAGAGGGTGGGCACAGGTGACTTGGATAAGGTAGCAGGAGGTCTTCCCATCACACTTGAAGTCTATATTTCTCTCAGGAGTAATAAGCTTATGATGAAAGGATCATGATATAAAGAGCTGGTTATCTGTTCTATCAGGTTTCATGCTTCATCTTGCCCAAACAGTCAGCACTGCAGAAGGCCTTCAGCCTCCATCTACAGGCCTCTACCTCAGCTTTCCCTCTACCCTAGTTTCTTGAAAGTAAAGATCGCTAATTGATCTGACTGGCCAGAGTCCAGGACAATTCCTTTGACCCCACTTTCCCAGTGGATAGGTTTACTACATCTTAAAGGTCAGGACATGGGGGCCAGGTGCAGTGGCTCACACCTGTAATCCTAGTGCTTTGGGACGTCAAGGCAGGAGGATTGCTTGAGCCCAGAAGTACAAAACCAGCCTGGTGGTGAGACAAAGTGAGACCCCCACCTCTACAAAAGAATTTAAAAATTAGCCAAAGACTTGGGAGGCTGAGGTGGGAAGATCACTTGAGCCCAGGAGTTCGAGACTGCAATGAGCTAAGATCACACCACTGCACTCCAGCCTGGGCGACAGAACAAGACTCTGTCTCTAAAAAGCATTAAAAAGAAAAAATAAAGTCAGCACGTTGGGCTTTCCTTCTTCCCTGAGTTCATGCAATAGTCAGACCCAGGACAAGCCTGCCTCCACGGACGGGTGAATCAGGCTCTTGTCTGCCTCTTTCCTGTCTGGCACTGAGTGGGCAAATCAAGCCAGAGGAAGCAGCGAGCTTCATTTATACCATCATCCCAGCTTTGAATGCTCCAAAACAGCTTTCCTTCTAGCTCAGCCACAAATAAAGCGGGGCTTTTGTTTTTCATGTCGCTGGTGGCGTGCTGGTAAACTCTTTTCAACCAGCTCTTCTCAGTGGAGGTCCGAGGGAGCCAACCCTGATTTGTACATTTGCCAATTTCCTTGTTGTAAATACACTCCCCGTGGCCAGTTTAAAAAAACCCCACATGACATCATTCAGAAGATATGCACATTAGCACACCATTATGTAGTATTTCGACCACACAGACACAACAGGCATAAATGAGCTCAGGAGTACAGATGATAGAGAACTGTAGCAAAATAATTAGGAAGTGATGAATTGTGAATATTTGTTACCTTCGTCTTAAATATGATTTAATTAAAAGTTGATATGGTTAAATTTTTAATAATGGTTGTATTTAATAACCAGCTCATAACATTCCTGAAAATTTGGCAATTAGTTCTCGTGAGCCCATAGAAACTGGCTCCGGCACACCACTGCATTTATCTATTATTCCTTGCATGTGGTGTTCTCTCAATCAAGCTCTCTATTGCTTTCCTCTGCCAAGCGCCCTTTTCTTTGAGGAACAGCCTCTTTTGTTTCATTTTGTTCTGAGGGGCTGTCAATTACATGACAATTACATCCCACCAACCGACGGTAACAGGACCTGTGCCCAAAGTTAGTCCAAGCCATGGGGTGACTGGGGAGGTGGCAGGCCTGAGTGTGGGCATTTCTGGGACCTTGGCTGTAATACTACCAAACTATCAACCCCATTCTCTCTTGCCAAGTTGTGGGAAGCAACCTAGCCAACACCAAAACCACCCCCTACCAGTATTTACATGTATTGGAAGACCTGACCTCACTGTGCTCCCCATCTGTCTCTTGCAGGGGCTCCCTCCCTGCAGGGGCTCCCCCTCAGCAGGGTCACTGTGGGCTACCTGTGGCCCTAGACAAGGGTCACACTTATGAAGGACCCTTTCCACACAGCCCTGTCTGTTCTCAGGTTCTGGCAACCACTCCCTCCTCTCACACCTACCCGCCTAGGGTTAGCAACAGCTCGGTGGGTGATAATCCGCATTCCCTGCCTGCACCTTTGTAAACACTCTGTCTTAGTCCATTCAGACTGATATAACAAAATACCATAGACGGGGTGGTGTCTAAACAATAGAAATTTCTCATAGTTCTGGATGCTGGGAAGTCCGAGATCAATATGCCAGCAGATTCGGTGGCTGGTAAGAGCCAGCTTCCTAGTTCATAGAAGGTAGGAGTGGTGAATAAGCTTGCTGGGCCTCTTTTATAAAGGCACTAATCTCATTCCACCCTCCACCCTCATAACCTAATCACCTCTCAAACATCCCACCTCCTAATACTATTGCACAGGGGATTAGGTTTCAACATATGAATTTTGGAAGGACACAAACATTCAGTTTATAGCATAATCCCTTTATTAAACGCTCTTCAAATTAGCCAATTTGGGTGTTCCACGCATTTCCTGCAGGAACCTGGTGGACCTCCCTCTGTACTCCCCACACTGCTCTGTTCATTATGCTCACAGGAGGCTTTGTGGGCCCAGCGGACCAGAACACAAGCTCTGGAGTCAGCCCTGAGTTTGAATTCTACCTCTCCTATTTACTAGCTGCAATACCAGACTCACATTACTTTACCTCTTTGTGCCTCCATGTTAGTCACCTGTAAAATGAGGACAGCAGTCCCCACCTCGAAAGGTCATTATAAGGATGGAGTGAGATGGTCCATGTAAAAAACCTAATATAATATGTGATACCTACAAACTGCCAGTAAGTGTTGATGACTTTTATTACATTGCTTTTTAAAAGTATGCAACAATTATTAACTATATTCATCATGCTGCAGGTAGAGCTCCAGAACTTATTCATCGTAAGTGAAACTATTTTGATTATATTTCCCTTAGTGTATTGTGAACTCTTCTTTGTTCTTTTCCAGATTTTTCTCTCTATAACTGGAGACCCAGAAGCTAAACCTGGATTAAAAGGACTTGTACCACAGGAATGGCACATGGGCCCCCATACCCCCATGGTGGTACTGGTTTCCATTGAGCTCAGTTAAGGTCTCCAGTTCTCCACAAGAGCTCCCAAGTGCAGATGGGAGTTAGTACTTGCGATATGAACCTATGTATCTTCTCTGGCTTGGGTCTGCAGGAAATGAGAAAGTTGTCGGTTGATGTGAATAGTGTCTAGTGGTGGCAGCCTGGTGCAGCCATCTCCAGAAGACTTGGTCTCAGCTGCCACAGGGGATTCAGGACAGGAGACTGTACCTACTGCAGGTGTTCCCCGCCCCCTCCACCCACAGGTGTGTGTGTGAGCACTGAGGGGTCAGGGGCAAGCAAGTGTTGCGTCATCATCCCCAATGGTCCTGCCCTGCCACCCACCATTTTAAGGGCATCAAGAGGACACCTGATAGCTCCAAGGGGATGAGAGTTCCTGGAAGAAATGCTGGATGCTTCTTTTTTATGGCTCACCTCAAGCTTCTCCTGTATTGGCACCTCACTGTGGAAGGAGAGGTTGGGGTAGCCTTGATAGACCTGAGTTCTAAACCCAACCCTGCAACATCCTAGCCATGTGCCTGTGGGTAAGCCACTTTCCCTCTCTGAGCCTCTGCTTCCTCATTTGTAAAACATGCCAAGAACAGTATCTGTTTCACCAGCTGGCAGTGAGAATTAAATTATTCAACTCCACCGACTCCCTTAGTGCCCAGCACATGGCTTGCACTTAGCAGTTGGGCACTTTTAAGGAATATGGCCTAGGGAGGGCTGTTGGGACTCTGGGGAAAGAAACAAGGCCATGCCAGACATCTCTGTCTCCATCTGAGCTCTGCACTTGGTTTTCCTGATGCCTGGTTTGTTCCCATTTATTCTTATTAAGATTCTCCACCCCCACCCTGCGCCCTTCACTGCCCTCTGGCCTGGCCAGCCTGAAGTTTTCTGGGAGAACAAAGGAGCTTCTCTGGTAGCAACCAGCCTAGGGCTCAAATCTGGCTTCTTCCTGGGGAGATATTGATTCCTGGAATCAATATCTGGATTCCAGAAGGGCCTGGAATCTCTGCCTGGAGTAGGAGGGTTTCTGTGTGTAAAGCAGAGGTTAACATGTCTGGGGACTTTCCACCTTTATTTTACTTGGCCTGCCTAGTGTTTTGGAAACATTTGAATTCATTGTTAAGATTTAGAAACCAGCAGCTTTCACCTGGCCCTGTGCTCACACTGCTGCCCTGGCAACAACAAGCTGGAGCTGGGTGTCCGCTGCCCCTGTAGTGGGGGCACGAGCTCTGTGACTTGCCAGTTTCCACCTGGCTTCCTGGCCGCTGTTCCAGGTTTCCAGCCTGACCTTGTAGGCATGTGCCTCTGTGTCCTCAAGATAGAGGTAGCTAGACAAACTTTTGTGTATGTGTACGCAACTTCTAGGGTTCCCACCTCCCCGTTTACCCATCTACCGGCATCTGCACCCCCATGCCACAGATGTAACTCCTGTTACTACAAATGAGCCATCTCGGCTCCCCTCAAAAGCCAATCTCTTTACTGTAAACTAGATACCCCCTGCTGTGGTTTGAATGTTTTTGTCCCTTCCAAAATGCATGTGTTGGGAACTTAATCCTCAGTGTAACACTACTGGGAGGAGAGACCTAAGAAGAGGTGTTTAGAATCTAGGCAGAGCCCTCATGAATAAATTCATGTCGCTATTAAAAGCGTGAGCTTGCAGTGAGCCGAGATTGCGCCACTGCACTCCAGCCTGGGCGACAGACCGAGACTCCATCTCAAAAAAAAAAAAAAAAAATTGCTTGCTGGAGTGGGTTCCCTCTTCTCTCCTGCTCTTCTGCCATGAGAAGACAGAGCTAACTGTTCCTCCCCTCTGGAAGACATAGCATTCAAGGCGTCATCTTGGAAGCAGAGACATCACGATCCAAACTGTTGGTGCTTTAATCTCCACCTTACTTGCCTCCAGAACTGTGAGAATAAATTTCTGTTCTTTATAGATACTCCAGTCTGTGGAGTTATAGCAGCACAAAACAGACTAAGACACCACCTCTCTTGACCACTCAAGGACACGATTCCAGCAATTTCCCAGATCTCTTCTACATCATCACTTTTTCTCTCTCTATTGGGTCATTTCTCTCAGGCCATGGTTATTTCTCCCATCTTAATAAAAACCTTCTC